>NC_000022.11:38558048-38709564 GCF_000001405.40 Homo sapiens
GCCTCCTGGATTCAAGCAATTCTCTGCATCAGCCTCCTGAGTAGCTGGGATTACAGGCACCCGCCACCATGCCCGGCTAATTTTTGTATTTTTAGTAGAGACAGGGTGATCCTGTCTTTAGTAGAGACCTTGTGATCCACCCGCCTCAGCCTCCCAAAGTGTTGGGATTACAGGTGTGAGCCAGTGCACCTGGCCAACAAATAAAGTTCTTAAAGAAAATACAATACACTAAATGTATAAACATAATTAAAATGTTTAAGAGAATTTAATCTTGTTATAAAAGCACCCTTAAAATGTGCTAGATTTATAAAGGGACTTAAAGCTTAAGGAAAAATGTATAATATTTTAATTAATTAAATATTAATTTTTAAAAACCTAGCTCCTGGCTGGGCGCAGTGGCTCACATCTGTAATCCCAGTACTTTGGGAGGCCGAGGCAAGTGGATCATCTGAGGTCAGGAGTTCGAGGCCAGCCTGGCCAACATGGTGAAACTCTGTCTCTACTAAAAATACAAAAATTAGCCCGGTGTGGTGGCACACACCTGTAGTCCCAGCTACTCAGGAGGCTGAGGCAGGAGAATTGCTTGAACCCAGGAGGCGGAGGTTGCAGTGAGCCGAGATCATGCCACTGCACTCCAGCCTGGGCGACACAGCAAGACTCTGTCTCAAAAGCAAACAAACAACAAAAAAAAACCTAGCTCCTGAATGATCTTTTCTGTTCTCAAGAGCAAACATCAAGGGCACCAGAAAACTCACAATAACAGTAATTATTTCTTTAGCCCAGTGGTTCTTAGACCACCATGTGGTAGAGTAACTAAAGAAAATCAGATTGTCATTTGAATCAAGTGTTTTGTTGATCAACCTCATTTTGACCAATTTGCCTAGGGGTAGGATTTCTCCAAGCCTCTTCCTTAACTTTACTTGAAAAAAGGGTATGTGATTTTAAAAGTCTGGGACAATGCTGGGTTAAACAGGTATTTTCTTTTTCTTTTTTTCTTTTGAGACTGAGTCTCACTCTATTGCCCAGGCTGGAGTGCAGTGGCACGATCTCGGCTCACCACAACCTCCATCTCCCAGGTTCAAGCGATTCTCCTGCCTCAGCCTCCCGAGTAGCTGTGACCACAGGCACATGCCACCATGCCCGGCTAATTTTTTGTATTTTTAGTAGAGACGGGGTTTCTCCATGTTGGTTAGGCTGGTCTCGAACTCCTGATCTCAAGTGATCCACCCGCCTCGGCCTCCCAAAACGCTGGGATTAAAGGTGTGAGCCACCGTGCCCAGCCATTTTTTTGGTAATTTTTAGTAGAGACAGGGTTTCACCATGTTGGCCAGGCTGGTCTAGAACTCCTGACCTAAGGTGATCCACCCATCTTGGCCTCCCGAAGTGCTGTGATTACAGGTGTGGGCCACCGTGCCCTGCCAAAACAGGTGTTTTGTGTCACTGCAGGATTTCACAGGCTAGTGTGCGCTGTGACTCTTCAAGAAGAATATATAGTATATGGTACTTCTCAAACTTATTCACTATTTGTTTATTCATTCATTTAGTCATTCAACAAATATTTATTGCACACCTAGTTTATGCCAGGGATTGTTTTGTGCACTTGGGATAAACTAGAGAACAAAAGAGACAGAATTTTTTTCTCTCACGAAGTTTACAATCTAGTGAGAGATTAGATAATAAACACAAATAGGCCAGGCGCCGGTAGCTCACACCTGTAATCCCAGCACTTTGGGAGGCTGAAGCGGTGGATCATGGGATCAGGAGTTCAAGACCAGCCTGGCCAAGATGCTGAAACCCTGTCTCTACTAAAAGTACAAAAATTAGCCGGGCGTGGTGGCGGGCACCTGTAATCCCAGCTACTCGGGAGGCTGAGGCAGGTGAATCGCTTGAACCTGGGCAGCAGAGGTTGCAGTGAGCTGAGATCATGCCACTGCACTCCAGCCTGGGTGACAGAGCAAGACTCCGTCTGAAAAAAAAAATAAATAAATAAAATAAAAAATAAACACAAATAAGTAAAATATGTAGTACATCAGATGTTATTAAATGGTATGGATAAAAATAAGGCCAGGAAAGGGGACAAGGAAGACAGAGTATGAAAGTTAGGAGGTTATACTGTCAAATAAAGTGATCAGAGAAGTTCTCATTGAGACATGGACATTTTTGCCAAGACCTGAAAGAGATGACAGCAAGCCATGTAGATCTAAGAGGAAAGAATATGATAGGCAGAGGCAGCACAAAGTGCAAAGGCCCTGATGCAGGAGTGTATCTGACATATTCTGGGAATAGCAAAGAGGTCACTATGGCTGGTACATAGAAAACTAGAAAAGTGAAATATTAGAGATGGGAGAGGACTTTGGCTTCTTTTCTGAGTGAGAGGGGGAATCATCAGGGTGTTATGAGCCACTGCATTCCAGCCTAACCTATGTTTTAAAGTGACCATTCTGGCTCTTTAGTGAATTAAAAAAAAAAACAAAACAGTAGGGGCAAGGTCTCAAGGAGGGAGGTTAATTAGAGGTTATTATAATAATCCAGGGGAGATATTAATAGGTGGTAGTTTAGTCCAGTGAGGTAACAGTAGAGGTGGTAAGAAATAGTTGAATTATATTCTCACTCTCTATGTACACACACACATATACACATAAAAATAACATATATTATATATTAATCTTTTATTATAGAAAATATCAAGCATAAACAAATGTAGAAAAAAAATAATGAACCATCGTGTCTATCACTCAGCTTCAACAATCGTCAACTATGAACTCAGGGTAAATCTTTTTTCATATAGACCACTAACCATTTACCTCCCTTCCCATATTATTTTAAGCATATACTAAGCAACATATCATTTCATTATAAATATTTCAGTATGTATCCCTAAAAGATGAAGATGAAGACTCTCATCTTTAACAACCATATTCCCACTATCACACTTAAATTTAGTAATTCCTTAATTTTTTTTTTTCAGACAAGGTTTCTCTCTGCGTCACCCAGGCTAGAGTGCAGTGGCATGATCGCGGCTCACTAGAGCCTCAACCTCAACCTCCTGGGCTCTAGCAATCCTTCTATCTCACTCAGACTGCTGAGTAGCTAGAACTACAGGTGTGCACCATCACACCCAGCTAATTAATTTTTTTTTTTTTTTGTAGAGACAAGGTCTCAGTTTGCCGTTAGGATGATCTCAAGAGATCCCCTCCCCACCTCCAGCCTTGGCCTCCCAAGGTGCTGGGATTACAGGTGTCACCCACTGCACCCGGCCAGGTGATATGTCTTTTAAATCTCTTTAATCTATAGGTCTTCTCCCTGACTCCATCTCTTTTTTCCTCCTTGTAATTTATTTGTTGAGGAAACTGGGAGGTTTGTTCTGACTAAATATATTTTGAAATTAGAACAGACAGGATTTATTAATGGGTTAGAGTTAGGGTGTGTGAGAGAAAAAAGATGTCAAGGATAACACCCAGGTTTTAGGTCAGAGGATCAGGAAAGAGATAGATCTAAGATGAGGGAGACTTTGGGAGAAGCAGATTTGGGGCAAAGGTCAGAAGTTTGATTTTTGGACCTGTGAAGTCTGAGCTATCAATTAGACGTTCAAGTGGAGGTATATTTGACTATGAAATCCTTTTTTTCTTAATGTATCTTGTGAGGCCAGCATTTTGAGAAATACTTAGAGGAAATACTGCTTTTGTTCTAAATGCTCTTGGGCACTGCTGTAACACATGAAACACTAATTCTTTCTAGTAAGGTAGGGAGAAAAAACCCACATTTTAGTAAACTTGCATTGAGAAGATGATGATATGTCTTGGGGATCATAAAAGAGTAAATAAAAAGGGATGTTAAAACTTCTCCTGCAGAAGAGCAAAAATAACTGCAATATTTCTGAAATATTTAATCTAACAATTGCTTTTTGAGTAAACCCAAAATGTGCAATGAAACATCCTTCATATGGAGAAGGAAAGTAAATGAAAAGTTAAACTGATTTTTAAAAGTGGTTTGAGATTAATATTGGCTGATTCAGAAACTAGATTTTGGGTCTGAATTTCTTGTAAGACATTTAATCTTGCTCCTCCAAGCAGTCTAGAATTTGTTTCAGTTATCATTTAGAAAAAAAAACAAACAAACCCAAACTTCAAATGAAGAAGCTACTTCTACTACTTATAGTAGAAGTAACCAGAAAGAGGAAAAGAAACATGGTATTCCAAAGATTATGCTTAGTGATTATAAAAAAGTAAGATACATACTCAAATTCCTGGCTCCCGGTGGTGATATGGAAAACCATTTTCCTCTTTTCACTATACTCAAATGCAGTCAAGAATCCTGGTTCCTACAGAAAGATAAAAGGAAATGTTCAAAAAGAGTTTAAAGATCATGGTTGTATTTTCAAATGTTGCCCAAAATGATATACTCAGTTATTAAGATCATCATTTGGTATAAGCTACAGTTCACTTGTCCTTGAAGGCAGTACAAGATTATGGTTAGGAACACAGGCTTTAGAGCTGCCCTTTCTAGGTTCAAATCATGTCTCTAATAGTTATTAGTTCTATGATATGGAGTAAACTACTTAATCTTGCTATACATCAGCTTCCTCTTTTGGGTCAAACATGCAACAGTGTTTCTTCAAGGAGTAGCTGTGAAAATTAAATTATATATATATACACACACACACATATGTATACACACATATACATGTACACATATATACACACGTTATATACACATATATACATATATGTGTATACATATACATATATACACATATACATATACATATATACACACATATATACATATACACATATATATACACATATTCCTGGATTCAAGTGATTCTCCTGCCTCAGCCTCCCAAGTAGCTGGGATTACAGGCACTTGCCACCATGCCCGGCTAATTTTTTGTATTTTTAGTAGAGATGGGATTTCACAATGTTGGCCAGGATGGTCTCAAACTCCTGACCTCAGGTGATCCACCTGCCTTGGCCTCCCAAAGTGCTGGGATTACAGGCGTGAGCCACCGTGCCCAGCCAAATGAGATATAATTATGGCATAAAGCAGAGGGTATTTTACTAACAATTCACTTTTTTTCATTCAACAGCATCATTTTTTTTCCAGCTGTAGAAGTTTCAAGGGGCACAGAAATTCCAGTTTTCATTATTCTTGAGACAACATTTTTCACATGGTAGATATACTACTTATTGACTGATTAAAAAGGTACAGCTGATGCAGTGGAGGACTAGTGAAAATGGGCCCCAATGTAGTCTAATGGGTGTCCCTCTTTGTTGTTTTATACTATGACTGTGGTTCTTAAACTTTGGAGAACTTGGAGAATGGGGACAGCCAAGCCCAGGTCCTATCCTACTTGAGTGAGCCAAGTCTGGGCTTCTGTTTTCTTTATTAGCCACACCAGGTGATTCTGATACACATCAGTGTTTAGAACCACCGTATTATGAAATTAACTTCCTTTCTTTCTCTCCTCTCTCTCTGTCTCTCTCTCTCTCTCAATCACTTTCTCTATCTCTAAGAATAAACAACTGGGTGCAGTAGCTCACACCTGTAATCCCAGCACTTTGAGAGGCTGAGGCGGGAGGACTGCTTGATGCCAGCAGTTCAAGACCAGCCTGGCCAATATAGTAAGACCACCCCTCCCCCATCTCCACAAATTTTTTTTTTTTTTTGAGATGGAGTCTCGCTCTGTCGCCCAGGCTGGAGTGCAGTGGCGCGATCTCAGCTCACTGCAAGCTCCACCTCCTGGGTTCACGCCATTCTCCTGACTCAGCCTCCCGAGTAGCTGGGACTACAGGCGCCTGCCACCACACCCGGCTAATATTTTTGTATTTTTAGTAGAGACAGGGTTTCACTGTGTTAGCCAGGATGGTCTCGATCTCCTGACCTCATGATCCGCCTGCCTCGGCCTCCCAAAGTGCTGGGATTACAGGCGTGAGCCACCAGGCCCGGCCTCCACAAAAATTTTTAAAAATTAGCTGGACATGGTAGCATATGCCTGTAGTCCTAGCTACTGAGGAGGCTGAGGTGGGAGGATCGCTTGAGCCTGGGAGGTCAAGGCCACAGTGAACTGTGATTGAGCCACTGTACTCCAGCCAGGGTGATAGAGTGAGACCTTGTCTCAAAAATAAATGAATAAATAAAACTGGGCACAGTGGCATATTCCTGTAGTCCCATGTACTTCAGAAGCAGAGGCAGGAGGATCACTTGAACCCAGGAGTTCAAGCCCAGACTGGGCAACATAGTGAGATACCCTTCTCTCTCTCTCTTTTTTTTTCTTTTGAGACAGAGTCTCGCTGTGTCACCCAGGCTGGAGCGTAGTGGCGTGATCTTGCCTCACTGCAACCTCTGCCTCTCAGTTTCAAGTGATTCTCCTGTCTCAGCCTCCCAAGTAGCTGGGACTACAGGCACCTGCCACCATGCCTGGCTAATTTTTGTATTTTTAGTAGAGACAGGGTTTCACTATGTTGGCCACTATGTTGGTCTTGAACTCCTGACCTCATGATCCGCCCGCCTCAGCCTCCCAAAGTGCTGGGATTACAGGCGTAAGCCACTGCACCTGGCCTGATACCCGTCTCTTAAAAAATACAAATAAAAAAGAATAAACAGTTTAAGCTAAGAAAGGAGAAGATTCTTGGTGCAGTAGTGGGTGCTTGAGAAAGAGAGAGGTTCTTTTCTTTGGTAATAAGATTTAATTTCCAAAGAAAACAACTCTAATGTCATAGAGCAGTTTCCCAAACCCTGAGTACTGCTCCAGGGCTTTCTTCAACACCCTGGCAGTTGTGGAATTGACTTGTGGGTACACTGCCTGAGTGTACTCAGAAGCTAGAGCAACTGAGCTGGGTTCAGAGTGATTCAGTTCGGTTGAGTCCCCTCCAAGTTCAGGATCACACTGCCACTTGCATCACTCTCCTGCCTTGGCTGCCTCTGAAGAAGGAAACCAAATGGCCGTTGGTGAAGAGAGCTTCTCAGACTCACTGGGAATGAGACCCTCACATACCAATAGAGAAATGGAGAGGCCTGCTATTAAATGAAGAGGAAGACTTAGTGACTACCTTTCTTTGCTTTCCTATTTCAAGAGCTGGTACCTCTAGTGATTCCCAAAAGCTCTACATAAAAGCTTGGGTCAAAGGTATATAGGCTTTTGTCTGGCAGCCTGGCAGTTGCAAAGGCCCCTCACAGTCAGTGGGCCCTGCTAGAAAGTAGTAAGGTAGGAGAGGGGATTTGACTCCAGAGGTGGGGCTCAGACACCAGACCAAATTGAGAACTAGCTAAAACAGGGTCCAGGGCAGAAGCAACTTTCCATAAGACATGGCCCACCAATGTGCCATGTCAGTTTACCATTGCTATGGCAACACCTGGAAGTTACTGCCCCTTTCCATTGCAATGACCCAATGACCCAGAAATTACCACTTTTTCTAGAAATTTATGCATAAACTGCCCCTTAATTTGCACGTAATTAAAAGTGGGTATAACTATAATGGCAAAACTGCCTCTGAGCTGCTACTTCTGGGCATACTGCCTATGAGGTAGCCCTGCTCTGCAAGGAGCAGTACCTCTGCTGCACTGTACTGGGCTGCTTCAACAAAAGTTGCTGTCCAACACCACTGGCTCACCTTTGGGCAAAGCCAAGAACCCTCCCAGGTTAAGCCTCAATTTGGGGGCTCACCTGCCCTGCATCAGTATGGGTTAGCTTAGCTCAGCTGCTTCAGTGAGCACATGCTTGGTCATATCTATCTCAACTGCACATATGTAGACCCAACCACTGTTGGTCTTTTTCTAATCCAGTGCTCTCTTATCAATTGGCTATATCAATTGGCTATATATCAATCTCCTATACCAGGAGAGAGCAACTTCTTTGGTACTCAGTGCTTCACAACAGCCATAGGTATGATATTTGAGGAGACAAGACAAAACTGAGGAGGAGAAAGGTAAAAAATAAAAATGAAGGCCGAGCATGGTGGCTCATGCCTGTAATCCCAGCACTTTGGGAGGCCAGGGCAGGCAGATCACGAGGTCAGGAAATTGAGACCATCTTGGCCAACATGGTGAAACCTCGTCTCTACTAAAAATACAAAATTAGCTGGGCGTGGTGCTGTGTGCCTGTAGTCCCAGCTACTCAGGAGGCTGAGGCAGGAGACTCGCTTGAACCCCGGAGGTGGAGGTTGCAGTGAGCTGAGATCACGCCACTGCACTCTGGCCTGGCGACAGAGCAAGACTCTGTCTCAGAAAAAAAAAAAAAAAAGGAAAGGAGAAGGAAAGGCAGAGACAGCCAGAAAAAGTAATATAAAGAGAGACAAAAAGTTTTGGCAAAAATAATTACCTTCATTAGTGTTCCAGGTCTCTTAATCCCTACCTTCATCTTTCAGAAATCAATTGCTGTTGCTTTGAAACTGAAGTGATAAAAAGTTAACATGGGGAGTATAATATACTGTGATCTACAGGAACTCAGTTCCCACAATAATTTCTAGTTTTCATGAGAAAGCCTATAAAGATTCACAAGGCCCTGCCAAGCTAAAACAGCAAAGAATGGATTTTGCTTACAATTAGTTTGTTCGCTGCCTCTTTAATCTTGTCTACTTTGGCTTCTGAGAGTCCTTTGACATTGCATAGAGCTCTTCTTGTTGTCATCTGTATACCTTTGATGGTACAGATTCCTACTGATTTCAGTTTCTTAATGTCAGCCACGTTCTGTAAATTAAAGAATGGGCACAGCAGACTGATAAGATGCCAGCCTGCAAGGCTCCCATACTATGTCATGTGTTTCTGTGTCCATCTCCTTCCACCATGATGCCAATTTTATACAAGCTGCCAGGTGGAACCCACCCACCATGTAGCCAAATGTTCTGGAAATATCTGAGTAGAACATACTCAGCAGGCTGCCAAATGTTCTGACTGTGCCCTGATTTCCCAAGAATGTTAGTGAGACCATGGCAATGTAACAAGGAATTCAAAAGAAAAGCCTGTTGGTGGAAAAGCTAACAAATTTATCACACATTCACCCCCTCAGTTCAGCTCCTTCCTTCTACAGAACTTCATTACCAACATGTTCTTTTAAATTTGTAAAGATTTTTTTTTTCCTCTGCCCCTGGAGAATGCAAATAACTACATCACCAAAGGACCAGGATTTTCTCTTGCTTCTATTTTCTAAAACCACTGAAAGAGATTAAATGTTAGGGCTACAACAGATAATGTCAGCACAGTTTTACTATCAACTGATTGCTGTTGAAATCCACCCAGGTCATTATTCAAAGGCTGGATTTCTGCCAACATCATTTATTCCAGTCGCCTGACATATAGAACTTAATTTTGTCCTCTGGATACACTTGACAATGTCTGGAGACATTTTGATTGTCACAGCTGCAGGGGTGCTACTGACATGCAGTGAGTGAGTAGAGGCCAAGGATGTTGCAAACACCCTACAATGCACAGGACGTCCCCTTGCAACAAAGAATTATCCAGGCCCAAATGTCCATAAGGTTGATGCTGAGAAATCCTGAATCAGACAATTTAACACAGCATTGAAAAACTACTTACAATTCCATGTTTCTGTAACAGGTCAATATCTTGAAACAAAGATTCCTAAAGGAGATGAAACAGAAAAAATGAAGTTTTGATTCTTCATATCCAGCTATTTCACATCTTTTAAAGAGGTAATTCAATACTATGAGTCACTCCAAAATGCCTCAAATTCCGCTTCTCTAGAGATTGAGGAAGGATCAATACCGTTTTTCAAACACAGAAGAAGCACCAACATTGAAAGGGCTGGGAAGCCAGTTACCTTTGTCATGTCCTCCCTAAAATTTTAAAACCTTTACCCAAAGGACTGGAACAACATTTGAACTATTTTAAATATGTTTTCTCAACCCTCTTCCCCTCCAGATCCTAAACTCCTTCCTCTAGGACCAGGCTGCTATTCGGTACCCGTGTGTGTAGGTACCAGTATGGCCATACCAGCTGTTAAGTCATTAAAATACTTTCATACCAGTTGCTAAGTAGCTAATCTTAGCATCCTTGCCAAACAAGTTGTTACATATTTGCAATATATAACTATGTGTTATTTCTACTTTCAGCTTCTAAAAATAGTAGCTAACAGGGAAGGAACTTGATTTTTGCGGAATGATCGAATGTCTATATATCTTTCAACATTTTAGTCATACCTCTTCATCTTGGAATCCTGGTTCTTCCGCCACAACTTGATCCTCCTTCATATTGAAAAGTGGGCAACAGAAAAATAATCACTTCTGGGAAAATAAGAAATATTATGTAAGAAGTAGTCCTTTGTCCAGGGGCCTCTGATTTCATTTCAAAGTCAACAAGGACTAGAAGGACAGTAAGAGAAGCATTTAGCTTGGAAAGATGAGGCCAGCCTATCTTCTTTCTGCGAGACATGTGACATTATTTCTTGTGTGTGTGTGTGTGTGTGTGCATGTGTGTGTGTGTCCCCACATGCACACAGATGCCTGAGGGGCAAATTGGGGGGTGCTTATTTAGTTTCTTCTCTTTCCCCAACAGTGATCACTTATCATCTGGTTTCCATTGCACAGCTAATCATGACTTTATTACTGCCTTGAATGTTATTTAGAATTGCATATTGCTTTTAACCTTTCTTGTTTATGTTTAACAACAATACTCTAGGAACCTTGACATTATATCATTCTTCCTTGTGTCCTCCCTGACACCTCCAACTTTGTCCTCAATAAATGGATTCTATTTTTCTCATCTATGATGAATGCCTTCCTGCCTGCTGATTATGAATGGGTACTCCTGTAACATCCACCTTTTTGTTTCATAGAACATTAGCTATACTTTCTTTCACAGTATTTACTAG
This sequence comes from Homo sapiens, assembly GCF_000001405.40. Taxonomy (NCBI): domain Eukaryota; kingdom Metazoa; phylum Chordata; class Mammalia; order Primates; family Hominidae; genus Homo; species Homo sapiens. The sequence continues at coordinate 38,568,877 of NC_000022.11, forward strand.
TTTCATGATTTTTTTAAGATTTAAAAATATGGTGGTCCGGGTGTGGAGGCTCATGCCTGTAATCCCAGCACTTTGGGAGGCCGAGACAGGCAGATCACGAGGTCAGGAGTTCGAGACCAGCCTGGCCAATCCCCGTCTCTACTAAAAATACAAAAAAATTAGCCGGGCGTGGTGGTGGGCGCCCGTAATCCCACCTACTTGGGAGGCTGAGGCAGGAGAATCGCTTGAACCTGGGAGGCGGAGGTTGCACTGAGCCGAGATCATGCCACTGCACTCCAGCCTGGGCGACAGTGCGAGACTCAGTCTCAAAAAAAAAAAAAAAAATTGGTGGATCATAATATTATATTAAGGCTGATAAGCAGTTAAAGTTTTTAACATTGTAGACTCAAAAAGAAATCTCAGGAATCCACAAGGCGTGATTGTGTTTATTTATTACAATAAAATGCGGTCCAAATCATCATTTTTCTTGGTCGATTCCATTTCCTCATTTGATACCAAAGTCAGGGGTTGGACCCTAGAACAAAGGGAACGAACCATTAATACTAAGGCAGGAGCAGGGTCCTACCACCCAGCACCTCAAACGGCAAAGGATGGAAGGCAACCGAGACCGTTCGGATGGGATCTTCGGGGACACTGTCCTTCAGATGGCTAGCTATGAGTACCCCAATTCCACATTTACTGTCCCCATCGAAGAGAAAAACAGCATTCATTTCTTCTCCCCGTGATGAAATGAAAAGATTGTCCCCCATCTCTCAAGGAGCCGTTGATAGACTGAACCGTTGGATTGAAAGTAGGGCTCCCCAATCCCCCGGTTTAAGACGACCCAGCTGTCCCCTCTGGTGGGGGCAGCAGCGCGGTCGGGTCGCCCTCGACGCCTCCCTCAGCAGGAGGCCTGGGCAGACCCCCTGCGGCCGCCGGACATTTTCCTGACACCGGATTCCCTGGTCAGGAGGATGAGGCGGGCTCTCCTAGACTCAGGTCCGATTCGATTGAAAATGAGGTTGGAAATCCCTCAAGATCACTAAAATTCCTCCCCAAAGGTCGGAGCGGAACGCTCAAAGTCACTAGCCCAGGGACCCCAAAAAAGGAGCGAGAAAGGGAAGCGCGCCTTCTCAAAACGAGCGTCCCCTCAGAGTCTTCGCACGCTGTTCGTTTTTGCCACTTACCCCCCTCGTACCCACAGTCTCCCCGAGATTTTCAAGGTGAAGCCCCTCTGCCCCGCCCGACCTCCTCAGCTGACAGGATTCTAACTCGGGCCTAGAACACGGAGCCTGGAGACCCGCGCGCCGTTGACCACAGGGTTTGGCGCCAAACGAGGAGGGCGGGGCGAGGACCAAGGGGCCGGGGCGGGGCGCAGGGTGAGGGTGGAAGGGCGGGGAGGGAGCAGGCCTACAGAGGGCGACGAGGGGCGGGGAGCAATGGGGGCGGGGCGAAGACCGAAGGGCGGGGAACGAGCGGGCTCACAGGTGGGGGGACCAGAGGGCGTGGCCTGGAGGGGGCTCAGGGCGAGGGGGCGGGGCGAGGGCTGAGGCGCGGAAAACGAAGAGGAGCCCCAGCGGGTGGCGAGCTGGGATGACGGAGGGAGGGAGGGAGGGGCGCTGTGGAAGGAGCGCGCTGAGGAGCGGGGCCTTGAAGGGAGACCGTTGAGCTGGGGCGTCCCTCGAGCTGAGCACCTCGCTAAAGTCCGGGAGAAGACCCTGAGGCGGGGTTCTGAGGAGGTAGCCTTGAGTCGGGGGAGGGGCGATGAGCAGAGGTGGCTGACTTTGGCGATAGGTCTTGGTCGCGAGGGTTGCAGATGGAGCCTTGGCTTAGAAGGTCGAATCCGGGCCCGTTTCCCCCCGCCCCCGCTGCCCATGGCTTCTCTTTTCACCTCCAGGTTTTCATGCTGGCTTCAGAGTTTGGCCGTGCTCCCTCAGCGTTCCTAATTTCCCACTTTCTGACTCTCACCATTTGCCACTCTTGTCTGTGATTGAGACACCCGAGGCCCATTCAGGATGGAGAGTAATTTTTTCTCTGTCTTAACTTGAAGTTTTAAATAGACCACAGACGCCAAGTATATTTTGGTTCAGCTTTTAAATAGAAGTCGCAGGCCAGCCTTCGTGCCAGCAGCGCCATCGCTGGCAGCATCCTCCTCCTCCCCTCACGCGGAGACTGACTTGGGGAGAGTCAGGAAACATTTGAGAGAGCAGCTGCCGAGGTGGAGGCTGTGATGTATCTTGGATGAATCTCTGTGCAAACAGTTCTTTGGGTTCAAGACCTAGTACAGGGCGATCCTTTTTGTTTTTTCTGTCTGAATCATTTTGGTGGAATAAATAGCAAAACATTCCCACAATAGCAGTTGGCATTTTGTGTAGGACGCACCCCCCCAACAGGTGGATTGTTTTAAGAGCCAACAAATAACTGCCATTGTGCTTCCAAATCTGTTATTTTCCCCCAAACACAGTCGTCCTTGTTATATGGAGATGAATGCCCATTTGGGGGAGGAACTGGATAGTGGTGAAAGGCTTTCGCTCTGAGGCCTCACCTAAATAATTATGGGAACTTTTGAGCAACTCGTTAGGTGAAGACATCAACAGTCTACAGAAGAGCTGCAAAGAGCACAGCAAGATGATTTAGGGAAATATAACATATGTAGTTTGGTGTAGTGACAGCTGGGAGAGAGAAATGTTCATAATATTTGAAGGTTGTGTGCAGTACACTTAAAAAAACTAAAATGAGCTGGGTAATGACAAATTCATGAAGGGAGGAGAAAAATCTTATCTGGGTATCATATCGATGGTTAGAGACAACTTTTAAGATATTTAAAACAACAACAAACTCTAGGACAGTTAAAAAGTGCACATGAAGACTTTCCACTAAAATCGGAACCAAAAAAATTGTCTTTCGTATCATACAAAAACTCTGAATATCATGAAGGTGGCATTTCACATCAGTGGAGAAATGATGAATTCAGTGAATAGTGTTAGAACAACTAGGTAACCATCTGGAAGAAAAATAAAATTGGAACCACACTTTACACATTATACCAAAATAAATTCCAGACAGATCAAAAAATTAAATCTGAACAATAAAATAATAAAAGTACTAGAAGAAAATATGGGATATTTAAAATTACTTTGTAATAAGAAACATCTTTTTAAGTATGCTACAAAACTCAGAAGCCATGAAAGATTGTTAAGTATGCTTATATTTAAAAAAATATATCCTGCATGGCAAAATGGTACTTTCCTATCCACAATATAGAACATGGCAAACCAGAGCTTTTGTGTCAATTATTAACTGGATAATATAGCTTGCCTAATTTTTCAAATCCTTCAGGAAGTCCACAATTTCTCTACACAATTTTAAAATTTTGTGTCTTTTTATGATATTTTTAGAAATAAAAAAATAGGCAGTGGGATTATAGTTAAGACCTGAATTTTAAACTATTACACTTTACTGCCCCTCCGTGGACAGTCACCTTATAACCAAATAGAGGCACAGGATTCCAGCGCGTATAGTTGGGCTTCTACAAAGTGATGCTTGCTGATACATATTCTTGAAATTTCAAGAGCTTGAATTTGAGAAATGCTTTAGTAGAGAACTAAAGAATGAAGGCTCATCACGTACAAATTTCACTGGGTAGAATTCCCCTTAAAAATATTTGTTTGTTTTGTTTTGCTTTTTGTTTTTGAGTCAGGGTCTCCCTCTGTCACCCAGGCTAGAGTACAGTGGTAAGTAAGATCTTGGCTCACAGCAGCCTCAATCTCCCGGGCTCAAGCGATCCTCCCACCTCAGCCTCCTGAGTAGCTGGCACTACAGGCACAAGCCACCACACCCAGCTAATTTTTTGGTATTTTTTTTGTAGAGATGTGATTTCACCATGTTGCCCTGGTCTCAAACTTCTGGGCTCAAGTGATCCTCCCATCTCAGCCTCCCAGAGTGCTGGGCTTACAGGCGTGAGCCACTGCATCCAGCAGTGTTCCATTTCTTTATCTCCAATTTCAAATAATTTCCCTTTAAGAATAAGGTACTTGTAGCCTATTGCTGAGACCTGTACCTCTTAGTGGCTCTTCCCCTGGCTACATAAAGGTTTAAAATGACTGCTGTTTGTAAAGAGTCGATTAAAATTTTAACCTAGGGTCTTACATTATTCACCTCCAGTTACAAGAAGGAATACGGGGTACCATAGGAACACATGGGAGGGACATCTTATTCAGTTTGTGGGTAAGTGGGGAACATGGCATTTAGAGGCTGACACCCATGAGTAATTCATTAGTCAGGTAATAAGAGGGAACCAGTACTAACTTAAGAGAGTGCATTTAGCTGGAGCTCAATACTTATTTGTAGAATGAATGACTAGTAAAACACCTCTTACATTCGCCAAACTTTCTCTTTTTTTCTCAGTATTCTAGTTCCATCAATCTTGTCATGCTTTTTTTCTTACACTTCTAGTTTATATAGACATTTCAAATACTGTGTTTCTTGCCTCAGCAGAGGGAATATTCTGAAAGATACTAATTCTGCAGTGTGTGGATTTGCATTAACCTAAAGGGGTTTAGTATAGATTTACTGGAAAGAAAAAAAATCTGTAGGATTATGAACCAAAAAATAAAAAACCAAAGTTCCCATCTTTATTCAAAGCATTGATTAGCAAAAATAAAAGGCAAAAGTTGTATATATTTTTGCATATCTACTTCTTTCTTTCTTTTTTTTTTTTTTGAGGCAGAGTCTCACTCTGTCACCAGCCTGGAGTGCAGTAGCGTGATCTCAGTTCACTGCAACCTCTGACTCCCTCGTTCAAGCGATTCTCCTGACTCAGCCTCCTGAGTAGCTGGGATTACAGGCACATGCCACCACATCCAGCTAATTTTTGTATTTTTTGTAGAGACAGGGTTTCACCATGTTGGCCAGGATGGTCTTGATCTCCTGACCTCGTGATCTGCCCACCTCGGCCTCCCAAAGTGCTGGGTTTACAGGTGTGAGCCACCACACCTGGCCGCATATCTGTTTATTTCTGATCCTACTTTTCAGTCACCTAATAAGCATTTTTCCATGTCTTAAGCATAATTTTAAATGATTGCATAATATTCCATTGAATGTATTATTAACAAATTCCCTGTTATTGGACATTACTAATTAGTGTCAGCATCTTTTTGCATTGTTTGTTTTTTAGGATTACTTTTATTTATTTATAATAAAAAAATAGAGATGGGGTCTCGCTACGTTGCCAAGGCTGGTCTTGAACTCCTGGGCTCAAGCAATCCTCTCACATTGGCCTCCCAAAGTGCTGGGATTACAAGCATGAGCCACTGCACCCGGCTGAGGATCACTTTTCTTAGGGTAGATTTCTGGATTTATAATCATTGATTGAAAGGCTGTGGACAATTTTAAGGCTATTGATAAATATTTAAAGCTCATGGAAATATTTGGTTGTACTAGTTTCCATTTTCTAGTTTCCATTTACCAGCAGAGAAAGAGTTGGTTATTTCATAGCTGTCACAGAGCTTACAGTCTAGTAGGAAAGATAGATTTTATACAAAGAACTATATAAGCAGAATTGTGAAAAATGCATTAAGGGAAAAATAGTGTGCACTGTGCTAAGCACACAGATAGAAAGGTGACTAAGTCTCTGCTGTGGAAAGCAACAGTGCTTGGGAGAGGCAGACCGATAAACAGGTTGTTCCTTTAAAAAAATTGTTTTAGGCCAGTTGCAGTAGCTCACGCATGGAATCCCAGCACTTCAGGAGGCCAAGGCAGGCGGATCACGAGGTCAGGAGTTCGAGACCATCCTGGCCAACATGGTGAAACCCCGTCTCTACTAAAAATACAAAAATTAGCTGGGTGTCGTGGAGCGTGGCTGTCATCCCAGCTATTCGGGAGGCTGAGGCAGGAGAATCGCTTGAACCAGGGAGTCGGAGGTTGCAGTGAGCCGAGATCGCGCCACTGCACTCCAGCCTGGATGACAGAGTGAGACTCCGTCTCAAAAAAAAAATTTTAAATTTTTATTTTATGTAAAAAGATTTTTTCTTTCATTGAGTGGATGCCCTGGATAATCTATTCAAGGAAGATCACTTAGTCCAACTTAATGAAACCTATATCCTTCGCGTACTGACTGGCAGCACACATTAAGGCCATATTTCCTTTTCTTTTCTTTTCGTTTTCTTTTCTTTTTTTTTTTTTTTTTGAGATGGAGTCTCGCTCTGTTGCCCAGGCTGGAGTGCAGTGGTGCCATCTCAGCTCACTGCAACCTCCACCTTCTGGGTTCAAGTGATTCTCCTGCCTCAACCTCCTGAGTAGCTGGGATTACAGGGGCCTGCCACCATGCCGGCTAATTTCTGTATTTTTAGTAGAGACAGGGTTTCGCCATGTTAGCCAGGCTGGTTTGGAACTCTTGACCTCAAGTAATCTGCCCGCCTCAGCCTCCCAAAGTGCTGGGATTACAGGCGTGAGCCACCGCACCCGGCTGAGGCCATATTTCTGAATCAGACCTTGCTGGTTTGAGCAGACGTGACAAAAGCACCAACACTGGCCACATTTTCTTGGGTGGCTCCAGTAGAGCTGCTGGTGACCTATCTTGCTTTCAGTAGTACAAGGAAGAAAAAGGCATAAACAGGTCATTCTAAGTGTTGTGATTGACAGTTGATACTCACTTCAGTCTTAGTCTGTCCTTGCTTTTTTTTTAAATCACGTTTTCTTCTCTTGCACCTTTTAAATTTCATAAATATTGTTTATTTAACTATAATCCAATATACCACAGCCAGGTGGCTAAATGTCCTGTTTTTGCTCACATACTACCAATTTCTGTTCACCTACTTGAGTACTGTTCTGAGAAAAAAATCAGACTCCATGCAAGTTCTAGAAAAATCTATCCAGGTTCTAGATAAATGAAATGTCAGGGCAAAAACTTGACTTATTGTTGGGTGCAATGGCGTGTATTTGTAGTCCCAGCTACTCGGGAGGCTGAGGCAGGAGAATCGCTTGAACCCATGAGGTGGAGGTTGCAGTGAGCCAAGAGTCCATCTCAAAAAAAAAAAAAAAAGGCCGGGCATGGTGGCTCATGCCTGTAATCCCAGCACTTTGGGAGGCTGAGGCGGGTGGATCACAAGGTCAGGAGATCGAGACCATCCTGGCTAACAGGGTGAAACCCCATCTCTACTAAAAATGCAAAAATTAGCCAGGCGTGATGGTGGGCGCCTGTAATCAGTTACTCAGGAGGCTGAGGCAGGAGAATCACTTGAACCCGGGAGGTGGAGGTTGCAGTGAGTTAAGATCGCACCATTGCACTCATAAGGGTATAAACTCATAAGGATATAAAGAAAGAAAATATTGTTGTATAGTTGTACAATGTGTGTTTTAAGCTACTCCAAAAGAGTTTAAAAGTTTAAAAAAATTAAAGTTTATAAAGTAAAAAAGTTACAATAAGCTAAGGTTAATTTATCATTAAAGAAAAATATTTTTGTATAAATTTCGTGTAACCTAAGTGTACAATGCTTATAAAGTCTATAGTAGTGTAATGTCCTAGGTCTTCACACTCACTCACCACTCACTCACTGACTCACCCAGAGCAACTTCCAGATCCATTTATTATAAATGCCCATTTATTATAAGCTCCATTTATTCTAAGTACCCTATGTAGTTGTACTATTTTTTATCTTTTATACTATATTTTTACTGTACCTTTTTTATGTTTAGATATGTTCAGACACACAAACATTTACCATGGTGTGATAGTTGCCTACATTATTCAGTACAGTAACATGCTGTACAGGCTTGTAGCGTAGGAGCAATAGGCTATCCCACATAGCCTAGGCCTGCAGTCAGGTATAACATAGAGTGTACTAGGTCTGTGTAAGTACACTCTATACTGTTCACATGATGACCAAATCACCCAATAATGCATTTCTCAGAGCATATCCCCATGGTTTAAGTGACACATGACTGTGTGTATATATATATGTAAATATATATACACATATAATATACATAATATACAGTATTTAATACATAAAACATTTATATATAACTTTTATGTGTACGTATAACCCACAAAATATGTATAAAACACATACATGTTTATATTTATGTATATATAAAATAATCCTTTTGGGCTTTGTCATTTATTGTCTATCTTATAGAAGTATGTTATATCTCAATATATTAAAAGTTTATGTAAATGGTTATTTATAAAAGAAGTTTAAGCTAAACCAGAAATTCATTTGTGCCTAGATATTTGTACTTCTTTAAATCTTGTTCCAGGTAATGTGTTCCTTTAAAGGCTGTATGTAAATGAAAATATTTACTATTTTTTTTTTTTTTTTTTTGAGATGAAGTCTCACTCTGTCGCCAATCTGTAGTGCAGTGGTGTGATCTCGGCTCACTGCAACCTCCGCCTCCTGGGTTCAAGTGATTCTCCTGCCTCAGCCTCCTGAGTAGCTGGGATTACAGGCGTGCGCCACCATGCCCGGCTAATTTTTGCATTTTTAGTAGAGATGGGGTTTCACCATGTTAGCCAGGATGGTCTCGATCTCCTGAACTCGTGATCCGCCCGCCTTGGCCTCCCAAAGTGCTGGGATTACAGGCATGAGCTACCACGCCTGGCCTTTTTTTTTTTTTTTTTTGAGATGGAGTCTTGCTTTGTCACCCAGACTAGAGTACAGTGGCGCTATCTTGGCTCACTGCAACCTCTGCCTCCCAGGTTCATGCAATTCTCCTGCCTCAGCCTCCCAAGTAGCTGGGATTACAGGTGCATGCCACCACGCCCGGCTAATTTTTGTATTTTTAGTAGAGACAGGGTTTCACCATGTTGGCCAGGCTGGTCTCGAACTTCTGACCTCAAGTGAACCACCTGCCTCGGCCTCCCAAATTGCTGGGATTACAGACGTGAGCCACCGTGCCCGGCCAATTTTTTTTTTTTTTTTTTACCTAAAATTTATTTGGTTAACGATGAAGACACAAACACACACAGTAGCCTAGGCCTACACAGGGTCAGGATCATTAATATCACTGTCTTCCACTTCCACATCTTTGTCCCACTGGAAGGTCTCTGCGGCAATTACATGCATGCAGCAGTCATCACCTATGATAACAATGCCTTCTTCTGGAATACCTCCTGAAGGACCTACCTGAGGCTGTTTTACAGTTAACATTTTTTTTAATAAATAGGAGTACACCATAAAATAATGATAAAAACTATAAGATAGTAAATACATAAACCATAGCTAAAGAACACTGAAAATTAAATAATGAAATAAATAAAACATAAACCAGTAACAGTCATTTATTACCATTACCCCAGTATTGTGTACTATATTTTATATGACTGGCAGGCAACACAGTACATTTGTTCACACCAACATCACCACAAACACGTGACTAATGCGTTACGCTATGACATTACGAAGGCTAAGAGTCGCTAGGTGATAGGAATTGTTTAGTTCCATTATAATCTTATGGGACCACCGTCATATATTCAGTCAGCTGCTGACTGAAACATCGTTACGTGGTGCATGACTGTGTGTATGTATACACACACATACATGTATATTTAATAGTCATTTTGGGCTTTCTCATTTTTTCAGTCCAAATTTGAAAAACTTTTTAACTTCAGCACATAGGTGTCCAAGAGAGGCTTGCTATGACAGTTTATTTTACTAGCATTTATTCAACACTGCTCAATTCCACGTCTCTGCTGGATATAAAGACAGGTAGGTACCTGCCCTCAAGGAGCCATGAGTCTAGTAGAGAAGACAATGCAGAAAGAGATAATCACCACACAAGGCAGGATGAGAGGGATTAGACATGCAGCTGGGAACCAAGCAGAGGCTCTCTCTGGGGTTGCGGGGATGGTGGCCCTTAGCTTGGGGCTGGATCAGTGAGGATTTGTCAATCGGGCAGGGCGGGAAAGGCAGAAGGAACACAGAGGCTTATTTGGGGAACTGCAAGTGGTTCTGGTGGAGGATTTTAATTTCAAAATTAAAGGAGAGAGGCCAAAAGGAACGAGTATTTGTTGAACACCCAATAATGATCATGATAGCCAGTACATGCTGCACTTACCATGTGTCAGGCACTGTTCTAAGTGCCTCCCACAGATTCATGCATCCACTCCTCACACAGACACCATGAGGCACAACAATTATCACCCCTATTTACACGATGGAACTGGGGCACCAGGAGGTTAAGTAACTTGCCTGAGGCTCACAGTCTGGCTCCAGTGACCATGCTCTTAACTGACATGCTAAACCACTATATGGCAGGCTTGTATATTCATATCTTGACTTTATTTTCCTGTCATAAGTACACATAGGAGCAGCAACTAAGCCAGACATAGAGCACACTTCAGCCATTCACTAGCTGTGTGGTCTTGGGAAAATTATTTAACCTCTCTGTGCCTGAGTTTCGGTATCTGAAAACCAAGAATAATATCGGCGCTGAGTTGTGAGAATTAAATGGGTTAATACACATGAAGTATGTGGGCTCCTGTGTGGAGAACTGATTGGAGGGGCAAGAGAAAGGGCAAAGAGAATGCTAGGAGAATATTGTATAACAGAAGTCCCAAGCCAGGAGTAATGGTGCTTTAAACAAGAAGAGCCTCAATTTGAAAATGGGGGAAATTGTACCTCATTCACAGGGCTTTAGTGAGACCACAATGAAAGTGTGTAAAATATGCTTAGAAGTGTCCATGGTAGATGCCTTTAATTTTAAAAATTATGGCTAAAATCAAATATGCACAAAAGTAAAACAGTATAATATTCCCATCACCCATCTTCAACAATTTTCAACACATGGTCAATCTTGTTTCACCTATACCTCCATCCACTTTCTCTCTCCCATATTATTTGAGTACAAATTCCATAAATCTTGTAATTCCATCTGTGAATATTTCAGTATATATCTCTAAAATGTGATAACTCTTTAAAAAATATAACCATAATGCTATTATCACGCCTAGAATAATTTTATATATAAAATATTTAAGATTCAGATATCCATTTGTCTCATAAATGCCACATTTTGTTTCAATGGGATCCAAATAATGTCCACATGTTGTAATTGATTGATGTCTTTTTTTTTTCTTTTTAGAGATGTGGTCTCATTCTGTCACCTAGGCTGGAGTGTGCAGTGGCATGATCATAGCTCACTGCACCCTCCAACTCCCAGGCTTAAGCAATTCTCCCACGTCAGCCTCCCAAGTAGCTAGGACTACAGGCGTATGCCACCTTGCTCTGCTAATTTTTACTTTTTTTGTAGAGACAAGGTCTCACTATGTTACCCGGTTTGGTCTCACCTCCTGGGCTCTAGGGGTTCTTCCACCTTGGCCTCCTAAAGTGCTGGGATTACAGGCATGGGCCACCATGCTCGGCAACCGATGTCCTCTTTTAAGTCTCTTTTAATCTATATATTCCCCCTCTCTTTTTCCCTTGAAACTTATTTGTTGAAAAAAATGAAGTCATTTGCCCTGGAGTTTTCCATGGCCTGGATTTTGCTGATTGCATCCCCTAGGTGTCATTTACCATTTGCCATGATGTCCCCATCCTCTGTATTTCCTGTTATGGTGGTTGGATCTAGAGTTCAGATCACATTCAAGTTTACTTATTTGTAAGACTATTTGATAGGTGGTCTTATGGTCTAGTATCAAAAGGCATTTAATAGCTGTTTGTCTTTTGTGATGTAAGCAGCCATGGATAATCAACCTAGATCCATTAATTCATTAGGGGTTTCAAAATGGTGATATTTTAAGTCTATCATTATTTCTGAATTTATTAGGTGGATTGTTTCTAAAGACAAGTTTCTGTTCCACTACTATTTGGTTACCTGGTAATACAGTTCATATGGGAATGGCATGATAAATGCTTATTCATTTACTTACCAATTTTCAAAATAATGAGGAAGTTTCCTAGTATCCAATTAGTTTCCTCCTTTCCCCTTTCCTTTTTTATCTTTGAGACAGTCTCACTCCATCACCTAGGCTGGAGTGCAGTGGTGCGATCTCAGCTCACTGTAACCTCCGCCTCCCAAGTTCAAGTGATTCTTGTGTCTCGGCCTCCCGAATAGCTAGGATTCCAGGCATGCACCACCACGCCTGGCTGATTTTTGTATTTTTAGTAGAGACGGGATTTTGCCTTGTTGGCCAGGCTGGTCTCAAACTCCTGACCTCAGGTGATCTGCCCACCTCGGCCTCCCAAAGTGCTGGGATTACAGGCGTGAGCCACCGCGTCCAGACACCAATCCGTTTTTTAAAAGTCACAATATGAACTTACAGGTGAGAACACGTTTGACGTGCTTCAAATATGGCAATTATTATTAATGCCCAAATGGTCCTCTCTTTTAGCTAATGGGATTGTCTCTAAGTTTGCTCCCAAGTCTTTCTGACAGGATCCTTGTCTTTGATAGCTTCCTTGGTGTTAAGTGTGATAAGATGTTTCAGGTCTCATGATTTTCCTGCCCTAGACCTGGAACTGATCATTTCTTCAAGGATCCCTAGATCCTTTTAGGGCAAATAGTATTTCAAGACCACAGTCTGGGTCACTGCTGCCGGGTCAGTCTTTATTTCTAGGTCATTTCAGTGGACAGAGTTTTAGGAAATATATACACATATTTTTGAGACAGAGTCTCACTGTGTTGTCCAGGCTGGAGTGCAGTGGCATGATCTTGGCTCACTGTAACCTCCGCTTCCTGGGTTCAAGCAATTCTCCTGCCTCAGCCTTGCGAGTACCCGGGACTACAGGCAGCTGCCACCACACCCGGCTAATTTTGCATTTTGAGTAGAGACAGGATTTCGCCATGTTGGTCAGGCTGGTCTCAAACTACTGGTCTCAGGCAATCCACCCGCCTCGGCCTCCCAAAGTGCTGAGATTACAGGCGTTAGCCACCGCACCTGGCTCAGGTTTTTTTTTTTTTTTTTCCCAGACACAGTCTTGCTCTATCATCCAGGCTGAGTCTAGTAGCACAATCACAGCTCATGGCAGCCTTAAGCTCCCAGGCTCAAGCGATCCTCCCACCTCAGCCTCCCTAGTAGCTAGGACTATAGGTATGCACTACCACATCGGACTAATTTTTTATGTTTTTGTAGAGGCAAGGTCTCACTATGTTGTCCTGTTTGGTCTCAAACTCCTGGCCTCAAGCAATCCTCTTGCCTTGGCCTTCCAAAGTGCTGGGATTACAGGTGTGAGCCACCATGCCTGGCCTGTTCGTTTTTTAACAAAGCTTTATCGAAGTATAATTGACATATGAGAAACTGCACACATTTAAAGTGTATTTAGGTGTGTATACACCCATGAGCCATTCACCACAATCAAGATAGTAGACATATCTGTCACCCCCAAAAGTTTATTTGGGCCTCTTTGTAACCCCTTCCAGCTTCCCTCCTATCCCCTCTCCAGCTATCCCTCCTGTTCTTCAGGAAACTGTATGTTCTAAAACATACATTTCATCATCAATTCATAAGCAATTCAAAATCAGGACTATAGGATTTTAACTTCATCTCTTCTAGTTTAACATCTGAATTTATCTTCTTCCATGCTGAGAGTATGGGTTTTCAGCAACACTGGGAATGACAGAATTAGAATATCATACAATTACTCATTTGCTTTATCCCACATTACAGCAAATGCTTTTTAAATGTTAGTTCCCTTTGATGCTCTACCCCGCTTCCCTTATAAAGGGCAAATAATTCTTCCCCATAATTTTCCCTTCTAATGTTTACAAAGGGCAGAGACAGGTTTCTTCATATTTAACATCCTGAGAGGCTACAACTCTGAGTCCTCAGTCATTTCTGGAAAGGGTCCATGCAGGGATGATCTTGGACTGTGCAACAAATGGTCCTGACAGACAGAAATGCAGTTTGTCCTGGGCTTAGAAAATAAGGAGACCTTCTTGCTGTATGGGGGCTAATAGTAGCGGTGGATAGGTAGACAGGCAATTCCAATCTACTATGGTAACTGCTGCCATAATGGGATGGCACAGAATGCTGTTGGAGCATAATGCAGTGGAGCACTTGTGCCTACCTTGCTCCTGGTATATTAGGGAAGGCTCCCAAGATGAGGGACGTCTAAGCGGGGTCCTGGAGGAAGAGCAGGAATTAGTGATGTTGGCAGTTAACAAAGAGGAGGGAGGAGAAGGCATTTTCAGGTCCAGAAGCAGCAACAGACAAAAGATCCAGAAATAGGAAAGTGTGGTTCCTAGAGAAACTGCAAATGAAGAGTTGACAGTGGCTGGGGTAGTAAAGGGAAGGTGAGAGAGTGTTCTGCTTATCTGCCCCACATGGTGCCTTGTACTCGGCAGGTGCTCACACGTTCTGGTTTCAGAAGACTATACTTTTTTTTTTTTTTTTTTGAGATGGAGTTTCACTCTTGTTACCCAGGCTGGAGTGCAATGGTGCAATCTCAGCTCACTGCATCCTCCACCTCCCGGGTTCAAGTGATTCTCCTGCCTCAGCCTCCTGAGTAGCTGAGGTTACAGGCACCTGCCATTGTGCCCGGCTAATTTTTTTGTATTTTTAGTAGAGATGGAGTTTCGCCACGTTGGCCAGGCTGGTCTCAAACTCCTGACCTCAGGCGATCCACCTGCCTTGGCCTCCCAAAGTGCTGGGATTACAGGCATGAGCCACTGCACCCGGCCAAGAAGAGTACACTTTATAACAGCAATAACAACAATAACAGCTTGTGGCAATTACAAAGTGAAAAGTACTGTGCCAAGAACTTTGCACAAATTATCTCATCTAATCCTCACAACAACCCTCCTAGGCAGGCATTCCCTTTCTGCAGTCAAGAAAGCACGTTCAGAAAGGTCAAGATGCACAGCTACTATGCTGAGTCACACATCCATATGGTGAAGCAGGGCAGGGATTCAAAGGCCCAAATTTTCTCATGCCAAAGCCTAAGCTCCTTCTCTCTTACCTTTCCTTCATCCCCTTTTACATGAGTAATAGCCTCCAAGGGGGTCACCTAGAGTTCTACTCAGGATTCAAGTAAAGATGTGTGTCTGAGGGATGAGCTACATTTCCCAAGATCTGCTTATCTGCTGCTTGGTTTGGGCAAACAGCCATCTGCACCATTTCTTTCCTCTTGGCTGTGACAGGTGAACTGTTCTAGCACAGACCAGGTCACTGCCTTGTGCCTTGAAGCTCAAATGATAAAACCTATGCCCTTCAGCCCAGCTGCTGGTCCTTTGGCAAACCAACCCCTGTGCCTGTGCCCCTCAGTGAAATATCTTCTGTCCCAAAGGGCTGCTGGCACACTGGCTTCATCTGCCTTGGTTTTTCTCAGATTCCACGCAGCTTTCTATCGGAGCATTAATGCATTTATTGGTTTACACATCCTTCTCTTTTTTCCAGATTGTGAGCCCCATAAGGTCAGGGACTGTGTCTTTATTTATCTCTGTATTCACAGGGCCTAGTGCAGGGATGGTACAGAATAGACATCTAGCAAATACCTAATCATCCCCCCCAAGTCCGTTTCTTCCTAGGAGAAAATGGAGGTAACAATATCCATCTTGGGGGACACCAGGAAGGTTAACTGAGATAATGTCTAAACCAGACTTAGCAGAGCACTCAGCACATACTAAGTACTCAATAAATGACATCACCTATGATTACTATTATTATGTTATACAATATTAGATACTCCAGGCCAGGTGTGGTGGCTCACACTTAGAATCCCAGTGCTTTGGAAGGACAAGGCAGGAGGATTACTTGAAGCCAGGAGTTCGAGACCAGCCTGGGCAACACAGTGAGATCCCATCTCTACAAAAAAATTTCTTTAAAAATTAGCCAGACATGGTGGCATACCTGTAGTCCTAGCTACTTGGGAGGCTGAGGTGGGAGGATTGCTTCAGCCCAGGAATTTGAGGTTGCAGTGAGCTATGACTGCGCCACTGCATTCCAGCCTGGACAACAGACTGAGAGTCTGCCTCTAAAAAATTTAATTTAGTTAAAATTAATTAAAAAAAATTTTTTTTTGAGACAGAGTTTCGCTCTTGTTGCCCAGGCTGGAGTGCAATAGCATGGTCTTGGCTCACTGCAACCTCCGCCACCTGGGTTCCAACGATTCTTCTGCCTCAGCCTCCCGAGTAGCTGGGATTACAGGTGCCCGCCACAACATCCAGCTAATTTTTGTATTTTTAGTAGAGATGGGGTTTCACCATGTTGGCCAGGATGGTCTCGAACTCCTGACCTCGTGATCTGCCCACTTCAGCCTCCCAAAGTGCTGGGATTACAGGTGTGAGCCACCACGCCTGGCCTAATTTAAAATTTTTTAATTAAAAAAATTAATTTACATTTAAATCCTGACTTTTGCTATGGTAGGAATGAACTTTACTATTCCTTGTCTCATGAACTGGGAGTGACTAAATGTGTCCCTAGTTGCAGTATTATTTTTTGTTTTCTTATTTCTATTTTAGATTAAATCAGACAACATGTGCATGCTTTACCTATAAAGTTTCTCTCAATTCTTGGACAAAGATTCACTCAAATGAGCTGGAAGGTGAGAGGTTAAGAAGGCAGAAGCCTGGGAGTCACACAGAAACACATTACAGATGTCATGTCCCTGGGCTGAGTTTAGAAAAGACAAGATGTTTGCCAGGCAGAAAGAGGGCATATTGGAAATAGGCTGGCAATCCCAGTGGTTAGAGGAGCAGGAGGCAAAGGTTCAGAGGCAGCATAATAGAAGCGCCTATCAAATTATCAAATTAATAGTTCCACAAAGCTTGTTACAAAAAATTGCACTCCTCTAGGCCCATTTTCCTTTTCCCTCACAACACTTTTCTCTTTTTCCTCTGTCCAATACTTACAGCATTTAATGTGTTGATACATCTGTCTTCCCTCTACCAGATGGTGACTCCCTTGAGAACAGGGACTGTGTCTTATCTACTGTTAATTACCCAGTGTCTACAGCAGAGAACTTCGGAAACCTTTCTAAACCTGGGCTTGCTGCTGCGTAAAATGCAGTGGATAATCCCTACTTCATACGGCTGGTATGAAAGTTTTACCTTTGTATGAGGTCATATTTGTAACATACTTACCAGCATGCACGTAATAAAATACTGAAAGAGTAAATCTATGAATAAATGTAGTGACCCAAGCACCAACTCTCTACTCCTGCTTTTCACTCAGCCTAGGAAAAACTACAACGGAATCCTTCCCCTATGGAGAAATCATGATTCCTATTTCTGTCTTTGGCCACAATTTTCTTATTTTCTTGTTCCACTCCACCTCGTAGCAGAAATATCACGGATTCTGTAGGCGCTTCCTGGTTCTAGGTTGTGGAGCTCCTCAGGGCTTGGAAGTGAGTGGAAAGAAATGTTCAACTTCTGTTTCTCTTCTCTTTCCCTCTCCTCCTTTCCCCTCCTGTGGGGGAAACAAACGAACAAAAACAAAAATTAATTTAAAAAATGTAATTTCTTCAAAGACTTTGCACGTGAGCAGTGGCGTGGCCAGTGGTGATCCTTGTGTGCATGGAATATTGAGGGCGTGCTCCTGCCTCCAGAGAAAGTGGTCGAGCAGGACAGCTGGCATCCACGGCTTCCACATCCCCAGTGCCTCCATCCTTCATCTTTCACCAGTACTGACAGGAACACTGCTGTGTCGGATCTGAACTGGGCCCCAAAAACCTCTAGGTAGCAGGCAGGTACTACTCCATTGGAGGTGACATCCCTCTGGTGACGCTGAAAACCTGGATTGTGTTTTCTAACTCTGTCTATCTGCTTCACACCTCCAGATGTGAATCTTCAGAATATTATTTGCTGGGCTATGGGATGGAGACTAGTCTCACAAGCCTAAAGGACTTCCTTTAATATTTCACGAAAGCATTACATTTATTTTTTTCTTTCTTTTTTGGGACGGAGTATCGCTCTGTTGCCAGGCTGGAGTGCAGTGGCGCGATCTCAGCTCACTGCAACCTCTGACTCCCGGGTTCAAGTGATTTTCCTGCCTCAGCTTCTCAAGTAGCTGGGATTATAGGCATGCACCACCATGCCCAGCTAATTTGTTTTTTGTATTTTTTTTTTTAGTAGAGACAGGGTTTCACTATGTTGACCAAGATAGTCTCAATCTCCTGACCTCGTGATCCGCCTGCCTTGGCCTCCCAAAGTGCTGAAATTACAGGCATGAGCCACTGTGCCTGGCCTACACTTCTTCTATTTAGGTTCACTGTCCGTATTTGGAAAGAACATGCTACAACTTGAAGGAGAGATCACAAGATATACTAAAAAATATTTTGAAATAAAAACAAAAACATAACACAATAAAACTTATGGAGTGCAGCAAAAGCAGTGCTAAGAGGGAAATTTATAGCCATAAATGCCTATGTTTTAAAAACAAGAAACATCTCAAATCAATAACTTCACTTTATGACTTATGGGCCTAGCAAAAGAAGCACAAACTAAATCTGAAGCTGGTAGAAGGAAGGAGATTAAGATTAGAGCAGAGGACGTGAAATAGAGAATAGAAAAAATAGAAAGTCAATTGAAAGAAACAAAATGTTAGTTATCAACAAAATTAACAAACTTTGAGTTTGAATGACTACCAAGAAAAGGACACACATAGATGAAAGTGAGAACATGATTACCGACCTTACAGAAATAAAGCTTGTAAGAGAATACAAATGCCAATAAATTATATAGCCTATATGAAATGGAAAACTAGAAATACACAAATTACCAAAACTGACTCAAGAAAAAAATAAAAATTCTGCATAGACTTATAACAAATAAAACGATTGAATCAATAATCAAAAATCTCCCTTTGAACAAAGAAAAGTGAAAGACTACAGGGCTTCATTTGTGAATTCTACCAAACCATTAAGGAAGAATTAACACCAATTCTTCTCAAGCTCTTCCAAAAAATAGAAGAGGTAACAGTATTTCATAGCTCATTTTATGGGGCCAGCATTATACTGATACCAGAACTAGACAAAGAAATGACAAGAAAAGAAATTATAGACCACTCTTCCTTAAGAATACAAATGCAGAGATCTTCAACAAATACTAAAATATTAAAAGGATTATACACTAGGAACAAGTGGGATTTATCCCAGGTAGTTCCCCTCAGTGAAACATAAATCGATCAGTGTATAGAGCACAATAAAAGAATGAAGGGAAAACCCTACATAATTATCTCAAATGATGCAGAGAAAGCATTTGACAAGAACCAACAGCATTTCATGATAATAAACAATCAGAAAAATAGGAATAGGATGGAATTACTCCAACATGATTATGGACATTTATGATAAACCCACAGATAACAGCACACTCAATGGTTAAAGACTGAAAGCCTTTCCCTAGGACCAGGGACAGGACAAAATGCCTCCTTTCATGGCTGGTATTCCACTTTGTATCAGAAGCTCTAGACAGATAATTAGGCAAGAAATGAAAGGCATCCAAATTGGAAATGAAGAAGTAAAACTATCTTTATTTACAGATAGCATGATTCTATACGTTGAAAATGCCAACACAGCAAGACCCTGTCTCTACAAAGAAATTTTAGCCAGGCGCGGTGGCTCATGCCTGTAATCCCAGGACTTTGGGGGGCCGAGGTGGGTGGATCACCTGAGGTCAGGAGTTCGAGACCAGCCTGGCCAACATGGTGAAACCCCATCTCTACTAAAAATGCAAAAATTAGCCGGGCGTGGTGGTGCACACCTGTAGTCCCAGCTACTCAGGAGGCTGAGGCAGGAGAATCATTTGAACCCGGGAAGTGGAGGTTGCAGTGAGCCGAGATTGCACCACTGCACTCCAGCCTGGGTAACAGAGTGACTCTGTCTAAAAAAAAAAAAAAAAAAAAAAAAATGCTGGGCGCAGTGGCTCACGCCTGTAATCCTAGAACTTTGGGAGGCCGAGACGGGTGGATCACGAGGTCAGGAGTTCGAGACCATCCTGGCTAACAGTGAAACCCCGTCTCTACTAAAAATACAAAAAAAAAAAAAAATAGCCAGGTGTGGTAGCAGGTGCCTGTAGTCCCAGCTACGTGGGAAGCTGAGGCAGGAGAATGGCATGAAGCTGGGAGGCGGAGGTTGCAGTGAGCCAAGATCGCGCCACTGCACTCCAGCCTGGGCGATAGAGCAAGACTCCATCTCAAAAAAAAAAAAAAAAGAAAAAAAGAAGAAGAAGAAAGCTGTTATAGGTTTTGGGGAATATGTTCCCCAAAAGACATGTTAAGGTTGTAAACCCCAGTACCCGTGAATAAGACCTTTTTTGGAAATAGTCTTTGCAGATGTAATCAAGTTCAATGAAGACATTAGGGTGGGCCTTTATCCAATATGACTGCTGTCTTTAGAAGAATAGATGCAGACAGACATGAAGAAGGCCAGGTGATGACAGAGGCAGAGATTGGAGTGAGGCCTCTACAAGCCAAGGACAGCCACGGACTGCTGGCAACCGCACGAAGCTAGGGAGAGGCAAAGGAAGACTACCCTGAACCCCGCACAGGAAGCATGGCCCTGCTGACACCTTGACTTTGGACTTCGGCCTCCAGAACTGTGAGAAAATACATTTACGTTGTTTGAAAAAGAAAAGAAATATATATACAGATGCCAAGAGGAGAATGAAGAAAGATAAGAAAATTAAAGGATCAGTCCAGCAGGTCTGACAATTGACTATCATAGTTCCAGAAATAGCAAAGAAAATGAAGGAAATTTTCTAAGAAATAATACAAGCAAAATTCTCAGAATTGAAGGACTCTACCCTCTGGACTGAGAGCACTCCCGACCTCAGTGACGCATATTAAGAAAAGGACTCATACCAAGGTATATCATTGTGAAACTTCAGGATACTAAGAATGAAGACAATATCCTAGAAGTTCCCACAGCTGGGAAGACAGTGACCCACAAAGCCATAGGAATCAGAATAGCGTGAGACTTCTCAACAGTAAAAGCAGCAGGCAGGAAAAATTCTCCAAAATTCTGTAGAATATTGACTTTTAACTTAGAATTTTATTTCCAGCAAAACATTTGCCAAATATCAATCAAGAACAAAGACATTTTTTCATGTCTGTAATCCCAGCACTTTGGGAGGCCAAGGCGAGAGGACTGCTTCAGCTCGGGAGTTCGAGACCAGCCTGGGCAACACAGCAAGATCTCATCTCTTAAATAATTATTTTAAAAATAGAACAAAGGGCCGGGAATGGTGGCTCACACCTGTAATCCCAGGGCTTTGGGAGGCTGAGGCGGGCGGATCACCTGAGGTCAAGAGTTTGAGACTAGCCTGGCCAACATGGTGAAACCTCATCTCTGCTACACAAAACAAAACAAAACAAAACAAAACAAAAAAACGAAAAAAATTAGCTGGGCATGGTGGCACGCGCCTGTAGTCCCAGCTACTCAGGGAGGCTGAGGCAGGAGAACTGCTTAGACCCAGGAGGAGGAAGTTGCAGTGAGCCAAGATTGTGCCACTGCACTCCAGCCTGGGTGACAGAAGGAGACTCCATCTCAAAAAAAAAAAAAAAAAAAAAAAGATGTTTTGGATATGCAAAGACTCAAATAATTTCCCATATACCTTCGTTTTGGGAACTGCTAGAAGATGTGCTCCAGCAAAGTGGACATGGCTTTTTAGGTCAGGACTATAAGGAGACAGACTTGGGCTGTCCATGGCCCTGAGGCAGAGGCAGCTTGAAAAAGAAGTCAGCCCACAGAAGGGAAGAGGATCAAGAGACAGACAGAGAAAGAGCCTGAAAATATCAAGCTGTCAGGTCTAATATGCCTGCAGATGGCCTATCATGACCTTCCCAGTTATTTAAGCTGCTACATTCTCCTTCCATTTAAGCTAGTTTGAGCTGGCTTCCTGGCACATGCAACCAAGGAGCTCTGTCTCATACAGTTCATGAAGTACATAGGCCAACACTTGGTACAGAGGAAGTACAAAATCATTAGTAGCCCTTACTACTACCAATAATAACACTAAAACTAAAATGAGAGTGGTGTGAGTAATACATAAAAGTAAGTGAACTTTTTTTTTGAGACGGAGTCTCATTCTGTCTCCAGGATGGAGTGTAGTGGCGTGATCTCGGCTCACTGCAACCTCCAGCTCCCGGGTTCAAGCGATTCTCCTGCCTCAGCCTCCCGAGTAGCTGGGATTACAGGCACGTACTGCCATGCCCAGCTAATTTTTGTATTTTTAGTAGAGATGGGGTTTCACCATGTTGGCCAGGATGGTCTCGATCTCCTGACCTCATGATCCGCCCACCTCGGCCTCCCAAAGTAGTGGGATTACAGACGTGAGCCACAGTGCCTGGCCATAAGTGAACTTTTATATGCTCTTTCCTGTGTTTTAAGAATTTTCCAGCCTGGGCAACATAGTGATACCCCCAACTCTACAAAAATAAAAAATGAGCTGGGCATGGTGGCACACACCTGTGGTCCCAGCTACTCAGGAGGCTGAAGTGGGAGGATTGCTTGAGCCCAGGAGGTGGAGGCTGCAGTGAGCTATGATGGCACCACTGCACTCAGCCTTGAGGAGAGAGTGAGACTCTGTCTCAGTAAAATAAAATAAAATAAAATAATTATTATTCTTACATGTTCACACTTCTACCTTTCCCATGGTTTTTGTTCGAACAACCCTTAAACTCAATTTCTCTTTGGAGACTTCCCTTAGTTTTCTTGTCAGGTGATTCCTCATTGACGGCTGAAGGTGGGATGAACATGTGGTTTGCCTTTTTTGTATCTGCTGCTTTTGGATCAATATTCTTCATTTCCCTGGGAGGAAAACACAGAGACATATGGAAAAAGGCTGGAGTGATTAACATGTCCTCAATGTTCTGTATGTCCTATAAACTGATAGATCCACGTGACCATTTACAAAACATGCATTGAAGTATAACATAGAAACTAGGAGTGCACAGATTCTAAGTGTGCAGCTCAAGAAATTTTCATATACTGAGCACGCCCATGTAACCAGCACTCGGATCGAGAAAGAGAACGCTGCCAGCTCCTTAGAAGCTGTCTCACATCCCTGCTCAGTCACTATCCTACTTCCTTAAGAGCAACCCTGCCCTGATGTCTAGTAGCACAGTTGTGTTTTAAGGCACCGCTTTTATCTGTAGACAAAACTTTGAGAATCACTTTATTAATATAAGGCATGATGAGCTTCTCAACAATATCTTTTTTTCTTTTTTTTTTTTTGAGATGGAGTCTTGCTCTGTCGCCCAGGCTGGAGTGCAGTGACATGATCTTGGCTCACTGCAACTTCCGCCTCCTGGGTTCAAGCGATTCTCCTGCCTCAGCCTCCCGAGTAGCTGGGATTACAGGTGCATGCCACCATGCCTAGCTAATTTTTTGTATTTTCAGTAGAGACGGGTTTCACAGTGTTAGCCAGGATGGTCTCGATTTCCTGACCTCATGATCCGCCCACCTCGGCCTCCCCAAGTGCTGGGATTACAGGCGTGAACCACTGCGCCCAGCAACAGTATCTTAAACAACAAAAAGTGATGTATTTAGCAATGCAACTGCTAACACACAGTTACAAACTTCCTCTTGACAAAAAAATCTTTACTACAATTCACCTAATGAGAATTTATTTATTAAACAAGAGTATCCTTTATTTCTGAAATATATAAGCTATAAACTTAATCCTGGATATTCTATATGAATTTAATGTTAATTTTAAACTAGTTCTGAACTTTAAAACGTTCTGGCCATGGAATGGAAGGGTTATTTGCAACTTCCAGAAGAAATGCATTTCTTTGGACTCATCTTCCTTTGAACTGGATGAAATGTGGACGTGGTGGCTGGAACTTGAGCAGCCATTTCTTACCATGAAGTTAAATCATGGGCTGAAGCTAAATCATGGGCTGAAGCTAGTGGAACAATATGATAAAAGATCTTGAGACCCTGTCACTATGAACTTTCATATCTACTGGAGTCCTTGTAAATGAGAGAAAAGAAATTGTAATAAATTTTAGCCACTGTTTGAGTTTTTCTGTCACTCTAAGCCAAACCTAATTATAACTGATACAATTACCTACCTATGGGCCTAGTTCTGAGAAAAGTCTTTACAGACCTTAATTTATTTGATCAATACAACCCTACAAAGTAGGAAATACTATCAAATGACTGAAGTACAACAAAACGACTGAGGATCAGTGAGGTGTGTGCAAATAACCCTTCCATTTTTATTCCATGGCTAAAACTTAGCCCCATAGCCAGACCTGCCTGTGGCCTTAAAAAGGCAAAAATAGTTTAATAGTCCATGGTCACAGAACCAGTAAGTAAAAAGACCTGTATCCCAACCTTAGCCTCTGCCATTCCATGGATCCCGCCATCAAGGCTTGTTACGACTATTGGGAGAGACAGATATGAGAGCAATCATAATGCCTGGTGCCCAGAAGGTGCTGAAAATCTGTTGGGACAATGAACTACAGAATAAATAAAGCATAATGGACTGGGCGCAGTGGCTCACGCCTATAATCCCAGCACTTCGGGAGGCTGAGGCAGGCAGATTACAAGGTCAGGAGATCAAGACCATCCTGGCTAACACGGTGAAACCCCGTCTCTACTAAAAATACAAAAAAATTAGCCGGGCATGGTGGCGGACACCTGCAGTCCCAGCTACTTGGGAGGCTGAGGCAGGAGAACGGCATGAACCCAGGAGGCGGAGCTTGCAGTGAGCCGAGACTGCGCCTCTGCACTCCAGCCTGGGCGACAGAGCAAGACTCCGTCTCTAAAACAAAACAAAACAAAACAAAAAAAGAATAAATAAAGCATAATGAACAACAGTTACAGAGGCAGAAGCAAAGAGCCCCAAAGAGCAGTCCCTATGTCTTCTCCCTTCTCCATCCCGACCCTCTCCTCCCTCACTTACATGTTCAATCTCTCCCCCTTCACACAGGCTTGGGTCTTCTACCTTATGTTTATTTATTTATTTAGAGACAGGGTCTCACTCTGTCACCCAGACTGGAGTGCACTGGCATGCTCCCGGCTCACCGCAACTTCTGCCTCCCAGGCTCAAGCGATTCTCCTGCCTCAGCATCCCAAGTAGCTGGGATTACAGGTGTGCGCCACTACCACCCAGCTATTTTTTCTATTTTTAGTAGAGACGGGGTTTCACCATGTTGGCCCGGCTGGTCTCAAACTCCTGACCTCAAATGATCCACCCGCCTCGGCCTCCCAAAGTGCTGGGATTACAGGTGTGAGCTACTGTGACCAGCCTTCTACCTTATGTTTAAATAGCCCCTGTTACTTACCATCTGATCTTGCCTTTTTGATGCAGAATTTTATTCCTTCTGCTTCCTAGGAATCCCATCCATCCACAGGGACTTACATCTTCCCCTTCACGTCCCAGGCTCTGCCTTCCGACTTTAGCCTTGTTGAGACTGCCCTCTACCAAGTCGCCTACCTGTCTCTGCCCCACGTTTTGGAGTCTGGCCACTACATTGCTGCTTGCTGCTTCCCTACTGTCCTTTGTCCCCTTGGCTTTATGGTCAGTGTGTCTGCATATATGGACTCTCCTCCTTCCCTTCTGGTCACTCCTCCCCTTACAGAATATTCTGTCCTCCCTGACTTATGTGGTTGCCCTCCAAGATTGTCCTCAACCTCAGCTTCCACATCTGTAAAATGGGGATAAGTAAATAATTGTACCACTTTAAACACACTGTCTTATAACCTACACTTCGGTCCAATAATATGTTGTGACCATCTTTCCTTGTAAAACAAAAATAGAGGGAGGTTTTTCTTGGCTGCAGAGTATGGAGGTATGATAGTTTTATTTAACCAATCATCTTTTGATGAACATTAATGCTGAACTGCATTCCTGTGGTGTTGGTGGTGGTGATGTCTAATGGGGTTTTGTGAATGTGTGTGGTCTGTGTCCCATAGTATTTTATAAATAACTCAATTGTGGCCGGGTGCGGTGGCTCATGCCTGTAATCCCAGCACTTTGGGAGGCTGAGGCGAGCAGATCATGAGGTCAAGAGGTCAAGACCATCCTGGCCAACATGGTGAAACCCAGTCTCTACTAAAAATGCAAAATTAAAAGGCCAGGCATGGTGGCTAACGCCTGTAATCCCAGCACTTTGGGAGGCCGAGGGGGGTGGATCACGAGGTCAGGGGATCGAGACCATCCTGGCTAACACGGTGAAACCCTGTCTCTACTAAAAATACAAAAAATTAGCCAGGCGTGGTGGCATGTGCCTGTAATCCTAGATATTTGGGAGGCTGAGGCAGGAGAATCGCTTGAACCTGGGGGACGGAGGTTGCAGTGAGCCGAGATTGCACCACTGCAATGCAGCCTGGCGACAGAGCGAGACTCCATCTCAAAAAATATATAAAAATAAAAATAAAACCCAATTGTATTATATTGCATAACAAAGTATTTATCTACATATTCATATTTTTCTGTCCCTCTTATTATGGGAGACATGGATAGCTGTCTAGCCAATAGCAATTCCCTCTTTCTCGTTTGTAAACTGAATCCCATTTTGTTTTGGACAACAAAGTGCCCAGTTCTATGGAAGGTCCAGTCCAGTTGTGGAAATCTCGCCCTCCTTGGCCAGATATTTCCCATGCTTCCCTTGCAGACAGGGTGGCTCCATGAAAGAGTTATAGGGGCATGAAGGAAAGACATGAGAGAGACAAAGAAAGATAAAAGAAAGTGAGCTATTCTTTATGGAAAAATGCCAGCTAATAAATGTAGAAGGAATGGCAGAAGTAGAAAAATCACCATTTTGCAACCTTAAATGTAATAGTTAATCAGGCAAAGACCACTGATGAGTGCTAAAACCACTGTGTGAAAGATGTTGGGGAAGCACATTCACACAGTCTGGGAGAATCACATCATTTATTCCTGACTAATTAGAAAGACAAACATGTGCTCTTACAATGCAGAGATCTGGTAGATACCAGTTTAACCAAGTGTTTAAACTTAGCATCACCAGTAGCAGAGCAACCTGACATGATATGCCTCCTAATGGGATGCAACATAAATATACAACATCACCTGTGAAAGATTTTGGGCAAAATGATTTAACTTGAATCTAATCAAACCTCTAGCATAGACCTAATGTCCAGTGTACAGAAAACATAGGCTATATTGGAACAAATTCAATGCTACTTTGAGGAAATATCAGAAAAACCCAGAATGTGGCTTGAGCTTTTCAAAAAAGTCCATGTCATAAAAAAACAACTAATAAGGGGGGGGGGGCAGGATACTGTTATAGATTCAAAGACACCAAAGAGATAAAACTAAATACAATTTCTGGCTAGGCACGGTGGCTCACGCCTATAATCTCAACAGTTTGGGAGGCTGAGGCAGGGGCAGATCACCTGAGGTCAGGCGTTTGAGACCAACCAGGCAACATGGTGAATCCCCTTCTCTACTAAAAACACAAAAATTAGCCGGGCATGGTGGTGCACACCTATAGTCCCAGCTACTCGGGAGGCTGAGGCGGGAGGATTGCTTGAGCCCAGGAGGCAGAGGCTGCAGTGAGCCAAGATCACACCACTGCACTCCAGCCTAGGCAACAGAGTGAGACTCTGGCTCAAAAAACAAAAAACAAAATATAATTTGTGATTCTTGATTGGATCCTGGAGCAGCAGGTAAAGCCAAAGACACACTGAGTTAGGCACAGTGGCTCGTGTCTGTAATCCCAGCACTCCAGAGGAGGCTAAGGAAGGAGGATCACTTGAACCCAGGAGTTTGAGGCTGCAGCAGGCTGTAATTGAGCTGCTGCACTGCAGCCCGGGTGACTGAGTGGGACCCTGTCTCTAAAAATTAAAATACATTTTGGGGACAATTGGGGAAATCTGAATTTGGATTAGCTATTAGAGAGAGAAAGCAAATGGGGCAAAATGTGAATACTTGGCAAATGCCTGATGGACAGTTCAGTGTACTATCCTGATGGACAGTTCAGTGTACTATCCTGATGGACAGTTCAGTGTACTATCAACTTTCTGAAAGGTTTTTCTAAGTAAAATAAAATTTCTGAAAAAGGCAGAAGACAGAGGAAAATGTCCATAATATGCTGCTAGTGGGAAAAAATAGGTCTAAAAAACAGACCAACAGTATGACTCTACACTACTTTATTTAGTGATACGGATATATGGGCCCAGAAAAAAAAGACTGGAAGGATTTATAGGAAAATGTTGGCAATGTGTATCTCTTGGTACTTTTATGTGGTTTCCGGGTCCTTTGTTTGCTTTCATTGAACACATAATGTTTTTGTAGTTAGAAAAAAAAAATAACAACAAAAAAAGCTCTGGTCTCTGTTATTAGGAGTTTATAATCTGACCACAAGAAAGCTGATTATGCTTATGATGGTTACAGGAAACCCCCCTGCCCCACCAACCCATTTAAAAATGATGATGATCGTGTGCTGCAAAAGATAAGTGCGGAACAACGGCATTCCCCAAAGCCCCTTCCATACCTGGAGAAGTTGTCTTGCAGCTCCTTTAGATGCTTGTCAAAATAATTCCATTCAGTCCAATGATGCTGGTACAACTGATTGAGGTTGTCTTTCCGCTTCTTCATGCTGCACAGGGTCTCGCTGATGACATCAGTATACGTTGGGGTGCAGTCAGTGGCTTCCGCTGTCAAGGAAATCCCCGTACTGTGGAACTGTGTTGACGCTGCATTATTAGTGGCATGAGCGCAGTGCATGGGGAAGAGGGGCATGGAGGACAGAACAGGGAAAATGCCCTGCGTTTCTGGATAAGATACCTGAAATCTGAGCAAGAGATGACTCTCCTGCTCTTTGACCATGGCCTGCTTTGGAGGGAAGAGGCCATCCTATCCGTGGCCAGGCGTTCTCTACGTAGGAATAAAGTCCTTCTCTGCCCCTGTGGATGGAAGGCAGGGCTAAGAAATACTTTTTTAGACTGTCATCTGAAATTCTTATTCTATTATCACAGCGGTGAATAGGAAGGGCTCCCAGCTTTCCTTTTCTCTCAGCCCAAGGCCTCATTCTCCATCTCGTTTGTATATAAAAATATTCTTGGCCAGGCGCGGTGTAATCCCAGCACTTTGGGAGGCCAAGGCAGGCGGATCACGAGGTTAGGAGATTGAGACCATCCTGGCTAACACTGTGAAATCCCATCTGTACTAAAAATACAAAAAATTAGCTGGGCATGGTGGCACATGCCTGTAATCCCAGCTACTTGGGAGGCTGAGGCAGGAGAATCGCTTGAACCCAGGAGGCGGAAGTTGCGGTGAGCCGAAATCGCGCCACTGCACTCCAGCCTAGGCAACAGAGTGAGACTCTGTCTCAAAAAAAAAAAAAAAAAAGAAAATTCTCCCTCTGCTCTGCCCTCCTTCCACCCCTTCTTGATTGGTTAGAATCTCAGCTACACTCGCCACAAGCTGTGGGACCTCAGACAAGATAGCAGTCATCCTCTGTGCCTCCATTTCCATATCTGTAAAACAGAGATAATAATGCCCACTTTAGATGATGTTAATCATAATCCTGGTAGTTATTTATGTAGTATCAGCTGTATGCCATTTAATCCTCATCACAACACTGTAAGTTTGGTATAACTATCCAAATTTTAGGAATGAGTAGATAAAGATATTGAGCTTGGAGGTCGAGCTGTGCACATAAGATCTCAAAGCCAGTGGTTGCTAAACTGGGACTCAAATCTAGGGCTGCATATCCCAACCCAGGTTCCTTCCACTACACTAAACTGTCTTTAGAGAACAATGAAGTGATGTTTGGGAAAACATGTTGCAAGAAATAAAACACTATGAAATGTGAGTTGTTGTTATTACTCTCTCCCTATAGAACATGTAAATAAGTTTGCGGACATGCAGTTCTGTGCAGAAGACGCAAAGTCCTCCTAGTTCATTACGAAACTCCTCCTGTTGGGGAGCTCAATGTAGACGTGGATCATCCCAGCCCTTGTTATCTGCCAGGCACTAGCCTTTATCTCTGTTGTGTCTGTAATCTGCATAATAGCCCTATGAGGCAGGTACTCTTATCCCTATTTTACAGGTGAAAAAAATGAGGCACAGAGAGAAGCTGGAACTTATCTCAAATCACTCGGTTTGCAGTAGAGTTGGTTCCTGAGTCCAGGTGTGTTTGAACCAATAGACCAGTTTGATTCCAAATAGAACCCGTGTTCTCTGACTCCTATGGTAAGCTGCTAAGACTCAGGACACCAATATAGGCCACACTTGTTTTCTTTCTTTTTTTTTTTTTTTTGAGATGGAGTTTTACTCTTGCTGCCCAGGCTGCAGTGCAATGGCGTGATCTCGGGTCACTGCAACCTCCGCCTCCTGGGTTCAAGCGATTCTCCTGCCTCAGCCTCCCAAGTAGCTGCGATTATACAGGCACGCACCACCAGGCCCAGCTAATTTTTTTTGTATTTTTAGTAGAGACGGGGTTTCACCATGTTGGCCAGGCTGGTCTCAAACTCCTTACCTCAGATGATCCGCTCATCTCGGCTCTCACAGTGCTGGGATTACAGGCGTGAGCTACCACGCCTGGCCAACCACACCTGTTCTCTTGAGATCTGAGCTTTCTATTAGATCTTTAGGATAAATGGCAACAGGGCCAGGAATATGCTGATGGGTCTAAGGGAGGAATGTGTCTGAGGAGGGTGTTAGATGAAACATACATGTGGACAACAAAATTCCTGGTCAGTACATACTCTGGGGTCAACGAGTGTCTGGGAAGCACTATTTAGTTTCAATATATGTTAGAATACCAAGTTAGCACATTCATTCTGGTAGGTGGAAAACAGATTTTGCACACAAGGAAATTTGACACACCCTGGGGTCTCATGGCCAGTTCACGAGGCTGGCTCTAGATTTGGAACTAAGATGAGCACGATTCTGACCCTGAGGCTCGCACCACTGGCCACCTCTGGCGAGTACACATGGTGTGCCAGGCGCTGTGCTAAGGCCTGGGTGCCATTCCCTGACCTTTGCTTCTGGGAAGAGGACGCGGGGGCCTGGAGCAGTGCGCACCCTGCCCACAGTGACAAGGATATGGGGTGCTCGTGGTCTTTTCCCTTCTGACTATCAACACATTCTTGCCGTGCTGCTGCAGACTGGCATAGTTCTGGAGAAAGTACACAATCAGAGGGCTCTTCCCATAAATGTTGAAGAGGTTTGAAGTCAGCTCAGGGCTTTTGCAGGCAGCACACGACTAAGGATGAAAGAAAAAGGAAAAATAAAGGATATTGTCATTTTTACAGTCTGTATTAAGAACCAGAAAGGCATCAAAGCACTCATGTCCTTTGATCCAGTAATTCCAGTTTTAGGATGCACCCTAAGAAAATTACTCAAAATAAAGCAAAAAAAGGTCAAGGGGCAAAGATGTCCACTGCAGAGATGTTTACTATACATAGCAAAATATGAGAATAACTTAAATGTTCAAGAAGACATTGATCTCTTTACCCAAAGGAATGGTATGTCACTATTAAAATGTTTATGAAGAGTTGATAACCTAAAAAAGGTTTCAGGTATAATAGTAAATTTTTAAATACTGAGATGCAAAGTTTGATAGTGTTTTTTATATGTGTGTGTGTATGTGTATGTATGTATATATATATATATATAATTTTATTTTATTTTTGAGACTTGGGTCTCAATCTATCGCCCAGGCTGGAGTGCAGTGGCACAATCTCAGCTCACTGCAACCTCCATCTCCTAGATTCAAGCAATTCTCCTATCTCAGCCTCCCGAGTAGCTGGGATTACAGGGGCCCACCAGCCACCATGCCCAGCTAATTTTTGTATTTTTAGTAGAGACAGGGTTTCACCACGTTGGCCAGGCTGGTCTCAAACTCCTGACCTCAGGTAATCTGCCCGCCTTGGCCTCCCAAAGTGCTTGGATTATAGGCATGAGCCATCATGCCCAGCCGATAGTGTTATATATTTTATAGAAAATAATTTAGTAAAAGCCAGGTGCGGTAGCTCACACCTGTAATCCCAGCACTTTGGGAGGCCGAAGCAGATCGCAAGATCAAGAGATTGAGACCATCCTAGCCAACATGGTAAAACCCTGTCTCTACTAAAAATACAAAAATTAGCTGGGCTTGGTGGCATGCGCCTGTAGTCCCAGCTACTCAGGAGGCTGAGGCAGGAGAATCACTTGAATCTGGGAGGCGGAGGTTGCAGTGAGCCGAGATTGCACCATTGCGCTCCAGCCTGGCGACAGAGTGAGACTCCGTCTCAAAAAAAAAAAAAAAGAAAATTATTTAGTAAAAAACAGATAGATGAGAGACTGGAAGGCTCTTACCAAAACGTTAATAATTCATTCAGCAAATATGTATTGAGTGATTACTATGTATAAATACTATTTTAGGTGCTGGAGATTCAGCAGAGAACAAGACAAATTCCAGCCCTTATGGAGTTTACATTACAGTTGGAAGAAAACAATGAAAAAAATCAACAAATAAAGGAATAACATGATATGATGAATACTAATAAGATCAATCAGGCCAGGGTATGGAGAGTGGTAGGGAGGAGAGGACTGGGGTTCCATGGCGTGATCAGGGAAGGCTGTGAGGAGGTGAGACCCCAGGGATCCTGAATGCTGTGGGGAAGGGAGCCATGGGAAGGTCTATCAGGAGTTGTTCCTGGCTAAGAGGACAGCAGGTGCAACAGATCCAGCCACTGATATGTGCTTGGTGTGGCTGAGGGGCAGAAATGAGGTGGCTCACAGGGGTGGGGGCGGGTGCAGAGGGAGCAGGTGCTGTGGTCATGGTGAGGAGCTGGGATATTTTTCTAAGGGTCATGGAAGCCACTGGCAGATTCTGAGCTGGGGTACAATATAATCTGAGTAATCTGTTAAGGTCTCTTTGACTGATGGGAGGAGAAATGACTGTGAGGGTAAGAATGGGTGCAGAAGAGCAGTCAGGAGGCCCCTGCAGGAGTTGGGGAATTGCTGATGGGGCCCAGGACTTGGTGATTGCAGACAAGGGGTGAGAAGTGAGCAAATTTACAACATATGATAAAGGAGAACTGGCAAGATTTGCTGATGGACTCAACTCTACGTAGGTGTGAGAAAGAGAAGAGTCTAGGGCGGCTCAGAGGACTTGGGTGTCAGCTGCTCAGGTGGGACAATCTGGGGAGGAACAGGCTGGGGCGGTGGGAAAGTCAAGTCCCGTTTTGGATGCTATTTGAGATGCTAATAGACAGCCAGGAGGAAACAGATCAGAAAGAGAACAGGCTGGGGCCAAGAATGGTTTGTTTTCTTCTGCCTTTTTCCAAAAATGACAATACTGCTTTTGTGTTTAAAAAAAAATACATTTTATTTTGAAGAAGCAGTTATACCTTAATGGAACAAAAATTCCACTTCACAAATAAAGGCTGCAGCAGTACCCAATCACACTATTTTCTAATCCTGTTCTAATGGGATAGGGTTGCATTTAATTAATTGTCTAATGGGATTTCTTCTGTCTCCAGCAAGGTTTCTCAACTTCAGCACTACTGACATTTGGGGCTGGATATTTCTTTGTTGTGGGAGGCTCTCCTGTGCACTGTAGGATGCTGAGGAGCATCCCTGGCCTCCCCCAATGTCCCCCTGCCCCCAGTTCTAACAACTAGAAATGTCTTCAGAGCTGGCCAAATGTCTCCCAGAGGACAAAATTGCCCCAGTTGAGAACCACTATTCTAACAGCAAGATACCACTGGAATCACAGAAACCTGGAGTTAGCAGGGAATTTATAGATCATTTGGTCCAGTGATTCTGACATGCTGTCTCCTAATGGAGGCCATGCTGTGTCCAGTGGTCACCAGGGAAATGAGTGAAACAAGGAAAAATCTACACGACTCTAAGTAAATTGATTCACTTCAAAGACCTTTTTAAATTTTTTCATTTGTGATATTAATGACTTTCTTTTATAAAATGCTACTGACGACAGACAGCAGTCATTTTGTTTTAATGAATTTACTTAGTAAAAAAATAAATTTTTTTTCAAAGCCTACGAAAGTCCAGCATCTGGGATCCACTAATGCAGTGCAAGGTTTCTCTGAGGGTGATTCTTTGGCAACCCAGCGTCCTTCCCCTTTCCTAACAGCCCCTGACTCTGGTGTGTTTTTGAGGGGGAGATCTGGCCTCTACTGCATTTGGGCTTGAAGTTTTGCTTTTTGTTGTTGTTGTTGTTGTTTTTGAGATGGAGTCTCACTCTGTCGCCCAGGCTGGAGTGCAGTGACGCAATCTCTGCTCACTGCAACCTCCGCCTCCTGGGTTCAAGCAATTCTCCTGCCTCAGCCTCCCGAGTAGCTGGGATTACAGGCACCTGCCACCATGCCTGGATAATTTTTGTATTTTTAGTAGAGGTGGGGTTTCGCCATGTTGGCAAGGCTGGTCTCGAACTCCTGACCTTAGGTGATCTGCCCACCTCGACCTCCCAAAGTGTTTGGATTACAGGTGTGAGCCACCATACCCAGCCAACTAATATTAATTTTAAAATTATTTGCATTACTGTGGGCTGGGAGCAGTGGCTCACGCCTGTAATCCCTTTGGGAGGCCAAGGTGGGCTGATCATTTGAGGTTAGGAGTTTGAGACCCGCCTGACCAACACGGCAAAACCCCATCTCTACTAAAGATACAAAAATTAGCTGGGCGTGGTGGCACACACCTGTAATCCCAACTACTTGGGAGGCTGAGGCAGGAGAATAGCTTGAACCCAGGAGGTAGAAGTTGCAGTGAGCCAAGATCGCACCACTGCACTCCAGCCTGGGCAACAGAGTGAGACTCCGTCTCAAAAAAAAAAAAAAAAATTATTTGCATTCCTGTGGTATGGGCACCCCTCTCCTCATCTCTTTAAACTTCAGTAAAGTCTTCCATTCTTCCATATACACAAATACATGCACACAGAGGCCTTCTGTGAGTGGTTTTTGTAAAAATCAGAAGAGTTCCACATTCGGGCTGATGCAGTTAGTATGTGCATAGTGTATGCAGGACAGACAAGGAGCTTAGTGCCAGGAAAACATCAGGCCCCCAGAGGTCACAAACATATTTGAGAGGGTACTAGACTTCAAACAAATTAGATAACAAATGCTTAAGCCAATTTTTAGCTAAATTCCAAGGAATAGAGTGACCCCTGGTGATACTGGGGGGTTATGTGAGTAAAGATTTTATTGAGAATAGGTAATAATATAAAATATTGGGAAAAAATTGGGGAAGATGTTTTATATAATCTTAGAATGGTAAAATGCTTAGCAACAAATGAAATCTAAAAGCCATAAGAGACTACTAAATATGACTATAATAATTAAAAACTTCTAAGGTAAAACACCACGATTAAAGTCAAAAGATTAGCCCAGGGGTGGTGGCTCATGCCTGTAATCCCAGCACTTTGGGAGGCCGAAGGGGGCGGATCACCTGAGATCGCGAGTTCGAGACCAGCCTGGCCAACATGGTGAAACCCCGTCTCTATTAAAAATACAAAAATTAGCCGGGTGTGGTGGCACACGCCTGTAGTCCCAGCTACTGGGGAGGCTGAGACACGAGAATCACTTGAACCCAGGAGGTGGAGGTTACAGTGAGCTGAGACGGCACCACTGCACTCCAGCCTGGGTGACAGACTGAGACTGTCTCAAAAAAACAAAAACAAAAAAACAAGAAATCTACATTCCTTGTGGTACTTGGCCCAAATTCTATGGCCGACTCCCTTGCTAGCTGGTGCCTGGGGAAGCTCCCAAACCTCTCACCCTGTTCTGGTCCCACTACACAAGACTGAAGTTCCTATTGATATAAACTACCATCCACTGAGGTTTGTGGGGAAGGGGAGGAGGAGAGAATGATGCTAGTGACTTTCCTGTGCTGGGCACTGCACTAGAGGGAAAGCTCAGTGGTTGAGAGCTCAGGCTCAGAGCCAGGCAGATCTGCATGCAAATCTTGGTTTTATCACTTATTTGCTTTTTATTTTTTTATTTATTTTTTTTGAGACGGAGTCAGACTCTGTTGCCCAGGCTGGAGTGCAGTGGCGCGATCTTAGCTCACTGCAACATCCGCCTCCCAGGTTCAAGCGATTCTCCTGCCTCAGCCTCCCAAGTGGCTGGGATTATAGGCACGCCACCGTGCCCAGCTAATTTTTGTATTTTTTAGTAGAGACAGGGTTTCACCATGTTGGCCAGACTGGTCTCAAACTCCTGACCTCAAGTGATCCACCTGCGTCGGCCTCCCAAAGTGCTGGGATTACAGGCATGAACCACTGCATCCAGCCTTTATTTTTTTATTATTGTTATTCATTTTTTTACTTTTAGTATCACTTATTTGCTTTATGATATTTGACAAATTGGGTACCTGCTCCCAGCATCACTTTGCTCATTAATAAACTGGAGAATAACAATGGTAACTATCTCAGAGGACTGTGACAGTAGAAGAAAATGCACTGTTTGCATAAGGTTTGGCATAGTACCTGGCATATAGTAAATATTCATTAAATGTTAATTATCATTTTCTTACCACACCTCTCACCCCCTTTGGAATCACCTTTACTATTAAATTTCCAATCATGTGCTCACCTTTTTAGGAAACATATTCTCACATTCTCTTGCTTCTGATATCCTCTTGACTTCTTGCGTAGGTTTCTTCAAGACCAGGGTCTGACAATGATGCTCTGTCAATGTGACATTAGCAAGAAAATGACCATTAGGTTCAAGCAATTCTCGTGCCTCAGCCTCCTGAGTAGCTGGAATTACAGGTGTGTGCCACCGCACCCAGTTAAATTTTGTAGTTTTAGTAGAAACGGGGTTTCGCCATGTTGACCAAGCTGGTCTCAAACTCCTGGACTCAAGTGATCTGCCCACCTTGGCCTCCCACAGTGCTGAGATTACAGGCATGAGCCACTGTGCCCCGCTAAAGCAGTGTTTAGAGGGAAGTCTCTAGCCTTAAATAAATGCTCATATTAGAAAAGAAGGTCTCATTTCATTCAGTTCAAATATTTTCTAATTTCCCTTGGCAACTCCTCTTTGATACATGGGTCTTTGTGAATTGAATATATATGTAAGCTCTGGGGGACTTGCAAAGTTTCCTACAAATATTTACCTCTATTTAGAGCCCTGGCTAAACCTCTTGATCAGTGGTCCCCAAGCTTTTTCTTTAAAAGTTTTACTGGGACATAATTCGCATACTAACTTCTCTGAGCCTCCATTTCTCCCTCAAAAAAATAATAAAGTTTAAATAACAATAATGATGTGAAATTACCTAGGATGATACTTAACAGTTCATGTTCTGTGTTTTCTTATATTCCGTATTTGTCTATTTGCCATCCATTCATTACCAGGGCTAGACTAACAGACAAAATTGCTAACATACCTCTCCTACAATCCAGAGGCCACACTTTGAACCAACTCTTATATCTAACTCACACACCAAGCCAACTAGGGACAGCCCCTATGCCCCAGAGCCCATTGGAATTATCCAATCCAGCCAATTCTAAACTTTTATTTTTTTTTGAGACAGGGTCTCACTGTCACCCAGGCTTGAGTGCAGTGGCTCAATCATGACTCACTGTAGCCTCAACCTCCTGGACTCAAGTGATCCTCCCACCTCAACCTCCTGAGTAGCTCAGACTACAGATGTGCACCATGGTGTCCAGCTAATTTAAAAATTTTTTTTGTAAAGACAGGGTCTTGCTATGTTACTCAGGCTGGTCTTGAACTTCTGGGCTCAAGCAATCCTACTGCCTCAGCCTCCCAAAGTGTTGGGATTACACTGTAATGTACGCAACTAATCCTAAACTGGTTACCATGCCTTGCTTTGTCTTTCCTGCTGAGAAACTTCAAAAAAGAGTGTGGCCTGTCCCTTCCCCATGCTCCTTTCTGCCTCCTGGCCAGCACTGGTGCTTCCCGCTGTGGCCCTGCATGGTGTGCTGAGTTTAACATTACTCATGATTTCCAGGGCGAATTGCCAGGGGAATTGCAAGTAACATGAAACTTTTCTTTCAATGGCACTGACCTCTCTGTACTATCACAGTCACCAATATAAATTAAGACCTGGGTGCAAATTAGTTCCAACCTTAGTAATTACTGGTTTCTGGTGGGGGACAGGAGCAGTCATCATGTCTTAAATTTATTTTCTTCTGGTGTCAGTAACCTCTCTTCCCCACAGATAACAGCACTGTGCTGACCTCATCACCACAAAAGTGGAACTTAATCAGTGCTTAGGCTGGGCGAGGTGGCTCACGCCTGTCATCCCAGCACTTTGAGAGGCCGAGGCGGGAGGATCATGAGGTCAGGAGTTCGAGACCAGCCTGGCCAACATGGTGAAACCGCGTCTCTACTAAAAATACAAAAATTAGCCAGGCGTGGTAGCGCACGCCTGTAGTCCCAGCTACTTGGGAGGTTGAGGCAGGAGAATCGCTTGAACCTGGGAGGCGGAGGCTGCAGTGAGCTGAGATTGTGCCACTGCACTCCAGCCTGGGCGACAGAGTGAGACTTCATCTCAAAAAAAAAAAAAAAAAAAAAAATCAATGCTTATTGAACTGAAAAGACAACTACATCCTTTCATAAAATATTACTTGGTGCCAAGGCCCAGGCTGGAACCCCAAGTATAAAGTAGGTCAGCAAATTCTGTTCATACGAACCCAAGAAACCAGGGTTTTGGAGACAATAACTAAGCCAAAAGCCTACATTTCCCTTTTTGGTAGTCAATATACCTTTTGCAGTATTCTGCATTCGTAAGCTTTTTTCTGAGTTCTGCTTGGCCGAAGAGGTTTTTTCACTGGGTGAATTTGCACTAGAAGACTTCAGGAGACAAGAGAGAGAAAGAGAGGGAGAAAGCGAGAGAGAGAGAACAAAATAAAATTGGCAGTGAGAGAAATACAAAAAAGTAATACATGCAATTTCTTTGCTATTTCTTACTGTTCTCAGCAAAGGAACATGCAGAACGAGACCTTTCAGGTCCTCCCAGGAGCATGGCAGACAGCAGTGGCTGATGTGGAGAACACATGGGCTGGGGACCCAGGGCAACCAGGGTTCCAGTCCCAATTCTCTCACTCAACAGCCAGTGATCTGGGGCAAGTCATCAAACCTCTTTACCGCCTTGGTTTCCTTGTAGGATTAAGTCAGCAAATGCATGCAAATTACACGAGTGCTCAAGGTGAGTGCTTCAAAAACATTGCTGTCACCCTTTATGCAATCACCTTTTTCAGCAAATGTTTCACTGGGCAACTACTAATGTGTTTGCACTGGGCAAACACTGAAACTGAGCCCCTGGCTTGAGGAGCTTCCAGTCTAGCAGGGGAGATAACAGGAAATAGACAGTTATACTTAAGTGTGGAAAGCATCCCCGATTTGTTATAGAGAGGCAATAGAAGTTAGGATTATGTTTGAATGTGACAGAGACTCAAAATAACAGTGGCTCAAACTAGGTAGAAATTTCTCTCCCACCATCCTGGGCAACATAGTGAGACCTTTTCTCTACAAAAAAAAAAAAAAAAAAAAAAATTAGCCAAGCACGCTGGTGTGCACCTGTAGTCCCAGCTACTTGGGAGGCTGAGGTGGGAGGATTGCTTGAGCCTGGAAGGTTGAGGCTGCAGTGAGCCATGACTGTGCTGCTGTACTCTAGCCTGGGTGACAGAGCAAACCCTGTCTTTAAATAAGTAAATATAAATACATTTCTCTCCCACATAAAAGTCTGAAGGCGGGCAAGCCTGGGTTCATATGGTGTTTCTAAGCACTGGTGGTGCTAAGTCCTCAGGGATTCTTTTTTTTTTTGAGACGGAATCTTGCTCCGTTGCCTAGGCTGGAGTGCAATGGCACGATCTCGGCTCACTGCAACCTTTGCCTCCCGGGTTCAAGCAATTCTCTTACCTCAGCCTCCCGAGTAGCTAGGATTACAGGTGTCCGCCACCACGCCCAGCTAATTTTTGTTCTTTTATTAGAGATGGGGTTTCACCATGATGGTCAGGTTGGTCTCGAACTCTTGACCTCAAGTGATCCACCTGCCTCGGCCTCCCAAAGTGCTGGGATTACAGGCATGAGCCACCGTGCCAGGATAGATTCTGACTTCTTCCAGCACACGGTTCCAGCTTTCATAAGATAAAATAAGACCCTTGTTCCTTTTTTTTTTTTTTTTTTTTTGAGATGGAGTTTTGCTCGTTACTCAGGGTGGAGTACAATGGCGTGATCTTGGCTCACTGCAACCTCCACCTCCCGGGTTCAAGTGATACTCCTGCCTCAGCTCCCCGAGTAGCTGGGATTACAGGTGTGTGCCACCACACCCAGCTAATTTTGTATTTTTAGGAGACAAGGTTTCACCATGTTGGCCAGGCTGGTCTTGAACTCCCAACCTCAGGTGATCTGCCCAACTTGGCCTCTCAAAGAGCTGGGATTACAGGCATGAGCCACTGCACCCAGCCAAGATCCTTGTTCTTAGGGTCCAAGGAGGCATCTGGAGCTCCTGCCATCATATTCGCATTACAGGCAGCAGGAGGGAGGAAAGGACAAAGAGATAAAGCTGTTTTTTAAGGAAGGTTTCCAGAAACTGCCACACGACACATCCACTTACATCTCATTAACTGGATCTTAGTCACGTGGCCACACGTAGCGGTAGGGGAGGCTAGGAAATACAATCTTTATTTCAGCCAGGTACATGCCCAGCAAAAAATTGGAGGTTTTGTTTTCACAGGTGAAGGGGACAACAGATATTGGGAAACAACTCATAGTTGGCCGCAAGTGGTATGAGGAGAGTATCATGGGAAGCTAGAGCGAAGAACGCTGGATTCGTCTGGGCGAGAGCTGGAGGGCTTCCAAGGAGAGAAGACATTTGCATTCTGTCTTTTAGGATGAG
The DNA here is from genome assembly GCF_000001405.40 of Homo sapiens. Lineage (NCBI taxonomy): Eukaryota > Metazoa > Chordata > Mammalia > Primates > Hominidae > Homo > Homo sapiens. The sequence goes on from NC_000022.11 coordinate 38,609,524, forward strand.
TAGGAGGTTGGCAATGTTAAACAGATGGCCCACCAAGTGGCAGACAAGCAGTCCACCAGCCTCAACAACAACCGTTTGCTTTTATAGAAATGGGATATTTGAATGGGCAGGAGAAAGCCGAAAGGACTTCCCAGACATCGTGCAGCTGGCTGTCCAACAGCTACTGGTTTTTATAGTGTTGAGGTGGTTGCAGGGAAAACACTCCCAGGGCTCAATGAAGCATCAATGCTCATTCTTTTTCTTTTCTTTCTTTTTTTTTTTGTTTGAGGTGGAGTTTCACTCTTGTTGCCCAGGCTGGAGTGCAAGGGCGCGATCTCAGCTCACTGCAACCTCCGCTTCTCAGGTTCAAGTGATTCTCCCGCCTCAGCCTCTTGAGTAGCTGGGACTACGGGCGCCCGCCACCACGCTTGGGTAGGTTTTTGTATTTTTAGTAAAGACAGGGTTTCGCCTTATTGGCCAGGCTGGTCTCGAACTCCTGACCTCAGGTGATCTGCCCACCTTGGCCTCCCAAAGTGCTGGGATTACAGGTGTGAGCCACTGGGCCCGGCCATTTTTTGTTTGTTTTTAAGAGACAGTGTCTTTACTCTGTCACCCAGGCTGGAGTGCAGTGGTGCAATGCAGCTGGGTCCACAGGCATGTACCACCACACCTGGCTAATTTAAAAAAAAATTTTTTTTTTGGTAGAGACAGGGAGTCTCACCATGTTGCCCAGGCTGGTCTCAAACTCCTGGGCTCAAGCCATCCTCCCACGTTAGTCCCCCAAAATGTTAGGATTACAGGCCTGAGCCACCACTCCTGGCAACCTGGCAAGGCTCATTCTTAACAGGCCTCAGAGAGTTCTGCGGTGGAGCAGAGAACAATGCGGGGGTATTCGCTTGGGTTTCAGTGACTAGACCCTCTTACTTGCTGGAGAGGCAGCTTGCTGATGCAGAGAGAGCTCAGACTGACAGTGTCCTGACATCAGCTGAGGTCAGCTGTGTGGCCTGGGGCAAGCCATTTATCCCCAGTCTATTACCTGCTTTGTCAAATAAAGATAAGAAGTAATAATGACCCACCTTGCAGGGCTGTTGTAAGGACTAGAGAGGATATATGCAAAGAAAACCCGAACATGGGAGGTGGAGGTTGCAGTGAGCTGAGATCACGCTATTGCAACAAGAGCGAAACTGCATCTCAAAAATAAACAATAACAAAAGAAAACCTGAACATGGTAGACTCCCCATAGAGACCACGTCCTTCCACTTAGAAAGTACTTTCCTGGGCCGGCGCGGTGGCTCACGCCTGCAATCCTGGCACTTTGGGAGGCTGGGGAGGGCCAATCACGAGGTCAGGAGTTTGAGACCAGCCTGGCCAATATGGTGAAACCCTGTCTCTACTAAAAATACAAAAATTAGCGGGGAGTGGTGGCAGGCACCTGTAACCCCAGCTACTTGGGAGGCTGAAGTAGGAGAATCATTGGAACCCGGGAGGCAGAGGTTGCAGTGAGCCGAGATTGTGCCATTGCACTCCAGCCTGGGTGACAGGGCAAGACTCCGTCTCGAAAAAAGAAAAAAAAAATCTTTCCTATCCATTCCCCGATGTTGTGACCAGCCACCACCCCAGGGGTGTATGAGGCAAGGTGACTACCATAAGGGTTGGGGGTAAACCAAGACTGTTCTGAGACCCCCTGTCCCATCCCAGCATAGAGGAGATGGAAGTGTTCCAGCCCACCTGGCCACCCAGCTGCTCAGATTCAGCACGCTGAGGGCTCAGTTGTTATTGTACAGAGTTGGGGGTTGGGGAGCCTAAATTTGAGCTACTATGAGATACAATCTAGGGATGCCTAGAAATGTCTGGGTGCGGAGGGAGCTGCGCAGACCTGGAATTAGCAGGTATGGGCAAGAGCTGCAAAAATCTTGAGTCCTTATTGTTAAGGACACTGACTATATCTATGCTGTTGAACTTGGGAAAATTCTGGTTAAATTAGTAGGTATTCTGACAAGACATAACTAAACGACAATCTCTGGGACATCACCTACCCCTAGATTGAATCTATAAGAATCAATACCAGTCGCGATGCCCATTTTGTGGATAAAAACATTGAGGCCTAGATTTGCCTCAAGCAATGTAACTGATAGGTGCATCACTTAGATGGAAATGTAGGTCTCCTGGCACCAAGCCCAGAAAGGCCAGCACTGTACCCCAGTGCCTTTGCCCGTGGTTCCACTGTAGTCGTGCACTCCTAGTTCCCATATTTTGGCTTGGGTAGAAATTGTTCTCTCTGTAAGCCAGGTCTCTCCTCCAAAGTCCAGTCTTGTATATTTACCCACTTGGCATCTATCTTCATTTGCACTTTTCATAGGCATCTTAAAGTTAACAAGTTCAAAGTTGAACTCTTGATAGCTTTCCACTAACCCAAACCCTACGCTGTCCATCTCAGTAAATGGCACCATTCAGATGCTGAAGCCGCACACCTGGGAAGCAACCTTCAACTCCGTCCTTTCTTCCCCCACTTCTCCTCCCCACTCCCAAAGCCAACCCACTAGCAAGTGTTGAAAGATCCATCTCCCAATGCGTCAGGTCTGTCTGCTTCTTGCCACCTTCCATATTTGTCATTTAGACAAATACGGAAGCCTCCCAGCTGGTCTTCTGTGCCCCTCCAATACATCCTCCATATTCAAAAGACAGTGTGATCTTTAAAAAATATAAATCACATCATGTCATCCCTAATGTAATGAATTATCATGGCACTTCAATTATATCCATATTCATATTCCTTTCTATGATGCTTACAACTCTGCAGCATCCAGCCCTGCCAACATCCCAGCCTTCGCTTGTGCTTCTCTTCTCACTCTCTGGGGTACAGTATTGGCCTTCTCTGTTTCCTGAACACTCGAGCTCTTTTTTTTCGCCTCAGGGCCTTTGCACATGCTGTCCCTTCTTCCTGGAAGGTTCTGCCATTTACTCTTCCAATGGCTGACTCCTCATCTCTTGGTTCTCAGCTCAAATGGTATCTTCTGGGGTCATTACTTGTTACATGTGTGCTTTTTCTTCTCCACATATGTGAAACCCATCCCCAAGGTAAGAGACTTAAGTTGCAGCTGGGGTGCAGACATTTCACCTAGGCTCTACCTGCAGATGCACCACCCCTGCCTGAGATTTCAAGATGGAAATGAGCAATGGGGAGGAAATGGGAAGTATGCGGACTCCAGTTTTTGGAGAGACTGTTGACAGGAGCAACTGGTTTTTCAAGGAGTAGAGTAGAACTTTTAACATCCAGTCCTCAGTCACACTGGCACACAGTAGCACACCTTGGCAGAGGCAGTATGGTTTGGCCATCATTCTTGGCAGCATGGCCTCTGAAGCTAACACGGAGACTCTTCCAGGGTAGCTGTGCACCTTTAATACATTTCTTTCTGCTTAATAGCTAGAGTGGATTCTACAGTTTGCAACTGAGAACTTTGGTGATGATTCCTCCTTACAGAGGCCTTCTTTCACTGTCTTTTTTTGGCACTACAAAAATTCTACAAAGAAATATATTTTTATATATATATTATATATATGTAAATATATTATATATAATTATATATATATATTATATATAATTATATATATATTATATATAATTATATATATAATATATATATTATATATTATATATCTATGCTGTATATATATTATATATAATATATATATATTATATTATATATATCTATGCTGTATATATATTATATATATAATATATAATATATAACATATATTATAACATATATTATATATCATATATAATATATATCATATATAATATATAACATATAATATATATCATATATAATATATAACATATATTATATAATATATATCATATATAATATATAACATATATTATATAATATATATTTATAATATATATGATATATATAATTTGTTTGTTTTCCCCCCTGCAAGGATCTAGGTCCAAGGTCCCAGCCCAGGGATGTCCTTGGACCCTGACAATGCAGTTTCTAGCTATCTCATCATCTTCCCAGAGACAAAGCTCAGGATCCTAATACTATGTGTTTGCACCTGACATATATAACGGGGAAGGTGTGTACAACTGGGTTTCACGGATGTTGGGAGTCCCTGAAATGTATGCCTTCCTGGCTCAAAGACATCATTTTTCCTAATCTCCAGCTGTGTTTCTCTAGGTACCACCCTTGTATAATATGATTAAGAGCTAATGTTTATTGAGTTCTTACTCTGTGCTATGCTGTTTGCTGAGTGCTTGCATGTAAGATCATATTTAACGCCCACATTGTGACTGATTTCTCTAGGTACCTATTTTACTGATAAGAAAACTGAGGTTCAGTGAGATGAAATGACTCATCTGAGAGCTAGAATTCTTTTTTTTGAGACAGGGTCTCGCTCTACTGCCCAGGCTGGAGTGCAGGGGTGCGATCTCAGCTCACTGCAACCTCTGCCTCCTGGGTTCAAGAGATGCCTCAGTCCCCCAAGTAGCTGGGACCACAGGTGCATGGCACCACGCCCATCTAATTTTTGTGTTTGTAGTAGAGACAGGGTTTCACCATGTTGGCCAGGTTAAGAGCTAGGATTCTAGTCCATGCCTAATTTGATAGTCTGGTCTCTCAACTATATACTACTTCTCCAGGTTTAGGACCTGGGGAGCTGGGAAAGGGGGACACAGAGTTGAGCTACTGTGCAAAGAGACGCAGGAGAGAATATCCTGCCTGCTGCTCTTTTCATCTCCCTGGTTTTCTCTCTCCCTATCATTTTCTCCCTCAGATTCCATTTCCTAAAACTTTTTATCTTTAAAAATATTTATTAAATGAACAAATGACTCAGTCTCTAATAGGTGGGTGTCCTAATTTATAGCTGGGTCTCATAGCAGAAGCCAGCTCTGTGGTTAGATACTTTTGCATTTCCACTGTGCAAATCCCTAACACTTAAACAAGAGAAGGGCAGACAGGAGACCAGAGATGGAAAGTAATTGCAACTCATTCCCCTGAATTGTGGACTCTCAGACAGACTACTGCCATTGAAATGCATATTTTGAACACAGCCAGCTCTTTCATTGAGCAGATGGGAAAACGTGTCTGCTCTTGATGAGAGAGGCTCTATCCCCACCACAAAACCCAATTACTCCCTCTATCCTGGTTTGCCCATTAAAACTTCAGCTGTGCTCAAGGTTCCAGAGTTTTTGATTATTTCTATTTTGGGGGCAGTAAATGGAATCTCTTAACTAGGTTCCTGAAATAACTGTCAGAAGAGTTTATGTATTTCAGTACAAAGAACACACGCTTGTTTCAAGCCATTGTGACAGGCAGTACCCAAACACTGAATAATATTTTGGTCTTGGTCTCTGGGTGATGGCTGTCCCTCTGCAGCACCTATGTCATCTGCACTTTTTGGGAACTGACGTTTACAGAGCACAGTCATATGCTAAGCACAGGGCCAAGAGTTTACATAGATGACCTCATTCACGAAGTCCAGAAATATTTGTTAAGTGTCTTCTTTGTGTTAGGTCTGTTCTAGGAGGTAAAAGAGATAGAACAGCAATAAATGTTACCCAGGCTGGAGTGCAGTGGCACGATCTTGGTTCACTGCAACCTCCGCCCCCTGGTTCAAGCAATTATCCTGCCTCAGCCTCCCCGTAGCTGGGATTATAGGCACGCACTGCCACGCCCAACTAATTTATGTATTTTTAGTAGAGATGGGGTTTCACCATGTTGGCCAGACTGGTCTTGAACTCCTGACCTCAAGTGATTCGCCTGCCTGGGCCTCCCAAAGTGCTGAAGATTACAGGCTTGAGCCATCGCGCCCGGACAGAGTTTACCTTCTAAGAGAGGGAGACAAACTCTAAACAACACATCAACCCAACAGGAAGATAAGTACTGTACAGAGATTGAGATAGGTTATGGGAAGACAGAGGCTGGCAGTCAGGGACAGCTTCTCTAGGGCAATGACAGTGAACCTGGCATCTGAGGGACAAGGAGGAACCAGATTTCCCCTCTGGATCCCTGAGGAAAGCAGATTCCAGGCAAAGAGGACAGCGAGTGCAAAGGCCCAACCAGGCATAGACCTGGCACGTCCAAGAGGCAGAAGGAAGTCCAGTGCCTGGTGCTGTGGGAGGGCATGGGTGCCAGGCACCTGCAGTGGGGGGGCCTGATTCTGTACGGCACTGCAAGTCAGGTGAGCGAGACTGGATTTTATTCCAAATGCAATGAAGAAGTTATTGGAGGTTTTAAGCAGGGAATAACCCCATCTGATGTATATCTGTAAAAGGTTACTCTGGTCACTATGTGGAGGCTGGGTTGGTGCTACAAGTAAAAGAAAGGAGCCCAGGTGGCAGCTGCTGCAGTCAGCCAGGCAAGAGAGGACACTGAGGGTTAGGAGTCAGGTGCTTTCCTCACCTGGATTGAGGTTCCTCAAATCCTCCTGGTGTGGCTGAGAAGGCTGGTGGATAGACAAGTACGAGTTCCGGGAGAGGCCAGGGCGAAGGTGGGTCACTGGCGTATGGGCGGTATTTGAAGCTACCAGACCAAATGAGGCCACCCAGGGAGAATATGTAGATACAGTAAGGAAGGGGGCTTGGGAAAGAGTAGACTGACAGGACAGGGAGCTGGCAGAGAAGATGGAGAGGGGTCAGCCAGTGAGGAAGGAAAACACTGTCAAAAGTTTGGCAACAAAGAAGCCAAGAGAACAAAGCGTCTCAAGAAGATGGGAGTGGCCAACCACACCAAACAGGTTAGAGGAGTGACTCAGTCCAAGCCAGTGGGGTCCCCGCGCTGTTGGCAAGAGCAGCTGCAGTGGCTGCCGGGGGCAGGAACCTGACAGGAGTAGCCAGGCAGAGATGGGGGTACAGAGGCATCTTTCAAGAAGTTCTGGGCTGGATGTGGCTCATGCCTGTAATCCCAGCACTTTGGGAGGCTGAGGCAGGTGGATTGCCTGAGATCAGGAGTTCGAGGCTAGCCTGGCCAACATGGTGAAACCCCGTCTCTACTAAAAATACAAAAAAAATTAGCTGGGCATGGTGGTGCAAGCCTGTAATCCCACCTACTCGGGAGGCTGAGGCAGAAGAATCGCTTGAACCTGGGAGGTGGAGGTTGCAGTGAGCCAAGATCATGCCATTGCACTCCAGCCTGGGCTACAGGAGCGAAACTCCATCTCAAAAAAAAAAAAAAATAATAAGTTCTGGAGTGAAAGGGAGCAAAAGATGGGGATGTGGAGTCAAGATAAGAGATGATGAAAGCACGGCTGTTCAGTGATGGGAATGACCCCACAGAATGGGAGGAAATGAAGATGCAGGAAAGAGGGGCGCTAAGGGCATCTCTACTTGGGAAGCTGAGGGCCAAGGTTCAGAACACAGGCTGGGGACTGACCTGGGAGGGGAGCAGGACCTCTCCATAGGCACAGAGATGGCAGATGGCGAGGGTGCAGAGGGGGGCAGGCTGTCTTGGTGGTGGGAAGGCACGGGCCTTCCTGCTGACTGCTTGTGATTTCTCAGTGAAGACCTTCCCTGGGTGGTGCTGGGGAGGAGGGCAGGTGGGGAAGGACACGCTGCAGGGGAAGTGTTTCGAAGGTGGGAGAATCTGGGCATGCTAGGGCAGTACAGTGGTGCGGCCAGGCAGCACTGAGTGCCCTTCTGAGCTGTGGGGCCGCACAGTCTTCAGAATGTCTGCAAGAAGGCACCATGGTTGTTGTATCTATTTTATACCCATAGAAACAAAGTCTTAGGGAAGTCAAATAACTTGCCTAAGGCCACACAGATGGAATCTGAACCTGTGAGAACAGACTTTTTTTTTTTTTTTTTTTTTGAGACAGAGTCTTGCTCCGTCACCAAGGCTGGAGTGCAGCGGCACGATCTCAGCTCACAGCAACCTCCGCCTCCCGGGTTAAAGCAAATCTCTTGCCTCAGTCTCCCGAGTAGCTGGGACTACAGGTGTGTGCCACCACACCCAGCTAATTTTTTGTATTTTTAGTAGAGATGGGGTTTCACCGTGTTAGCTAAGATGGTCTCGATCTCCTGACCTTGTAATCCGCCTGCCTTGGACTCCCAAAGTGCTGGGATTACAGGCGTGAGCCTCCACACCCGGCCGGAGGAGGCTGTCTTAATGAATTAAGCCTCCAATGCCATTTGTTAAGGAAGCATGTCATTAGAAATGGGGCATTCAGGTACTAGAAGTGGGAATGTTGTCCTAGGGTTTAAAGATTAGCGGGGAGGCTGGGCCTGGTGGCTCACCTATAATTGAAGCACTTCAGGAGGCTAAAGTAGGAGGATTGCTTGAGCTAGGAGTTCAAGACCAGCCTGGGCAACATAGCAAGACTTCTCTATTAAAAATTCATGGTGACATGTTCCAGCTACTCAGGAGGTTGAGGCAGTAGGATTACTTGAATCCAGGAGGACGCCACAGCACTCTGGCCTGGGCAACAGAGTGAGACCCTGTCTCTAAAAGAATAAACCAATTAAAAAAAAGATTAGCAGGGGAAACAGCCATGATCAGAGTAATAACCAAATAATTACATGAGTGCTCTGAAGGAAAGGGACATTGGCCTGTATAATAAGGAACATCATCCAGCCCAGAGGGGCAGAAAGCTGACCCTGAGGATGAGAGTGAAGGGGGTTAGAATCTGCCATCCCAAAATAGGCCACTTTGCATAGGAATTATTTTGAGCTGAAGGCAATTGAAAAACAGCAGATGCAGGAAATCTCTTTACAATTCCAGTTTCCATCTAAAAGCAGAGCATAAATTTTCCTTTGTGAAGGTGTCCCCACTTCCCATCTCCAGTACCAGGAAGAAGAGACAACTCATCACTGGAGATGGCACCCCTTGAATCTGCATATAGAAATCTTATTGAAAGAATCCTTATCTTCCATTAGTTTCTCCCATATATTTACCTTCCCACAATTTACCATCCCCAGAAGCCTAAACCTCTTTTCCTTTGTCTTGTCACATCTCCACAATTAATTGCTCTTTGTTAGGGTGGTATGTGAACTATCAGACCTAGCCACTTCCTTGAGGTTTTCGCTTTCTTCCAATGAAGTCCTGTGTCATGTAAAAATACTAACATCAAATAAAATTTGAATGCCTTTCTCCTGTTAAACTGTCTATCTTTTGTCAGTTTAACTTGTAGGGCTCCATACACTTTGCCTCAGAGGGTAGATAAAAGGTTTTTTTCCCTCCCTACAAGAATCTGAACTGAGATGGAAGGATGACTATATATCTCCTAGACCAGGGGTTAGCAAACTTTTTCTGCAAAAAGCCAGATGATAAATATTCGGCTTTGCAGGTCCTAAAGTCTCTATCGCAAGTACTCAACTCTGCTGTTTCAGTGTGAAGGTAGTTGTAGACAATAGTAAATGAATGGCCATGGCTGTGTGCCAATAAAGCTTTATTTTCAAAAACAGGCAGTGAAAGGTCTGATTCATAGTTTGCTAAACCCTGCCCTGGGATTTTTTTTTCCAGCTCTTCAGAAAAAAAAAAAAAAAAGCCTTTATTTGTGGCATTTGGTTAACTGCATGCTATCAATGTCTCTGGACTTGGGGGTTGGGAGGAAATGCTGACAGTGACAATGGCAATGGTGATAGGAGCTTACCTGGGACAAGAAGAACAGGAGGTACAGAGGCCACATACAGAAAGGGAGTGTGGTATACAAGGAAATAAAAGAAGTCCCCTGAGGCAGGACCCCTGAGAGCCCAGGAGGTTGGAGAAGGGGTTGAGCCAGATGAGCAAGGCTGTGCAAGTCAGTCTACTAAAGGCCAGAGGAAGCATTCTGGGGTGTGGAGGGTGTCATTTTATTGGCTAGAAGTAGGATCTTATTTATTTATTTATTTATTTATTTTTGAGACAGAGTCTTGCCCTGTTACCCAGGCTGCAGTGCAGTGGTGTGATCTCAGCTCTCTGCAACCTCTGCCTCCCGGGTTCAAGCAATTCTTGTGCCTCAGCCTCCTGAGTAGCTGGGACTACAGGTGCATGGCACCAAGCCTGGCTAATTTTTGTATTTTTAGTAGAGACGAGGTTTCACCATGTGGACCAGACTGGTCTTGGACTCCTGGTCTCAAGTGATCTGCCTGCCTTGGGCTCCCAAAGTATTGGGATTATAGGCGTGAGTCACTGTGCCTGGCCTGGAAGTAGGGTTTTTAGGGTCGGGGGATAGGATAGGGTCAGGTGGTGATGGGATGATGTACTTAGCTTTGCACTTTGAAAAGATGGCCCTAGAAGTATCTGAGAACCTGAGGGAGACCAGTTAGGTGCCTACTGCAGTAGTGATGGGAGCTCAAACTAGGGTGGTGGGAGTGGAAAAGTGAGAAACAGGTGGTTCTGGGAGGTACATCAGAAGGAACATCAATAGGGCAGAGGAGAAAGTACGTATCAGGGATGACTGCTAGGTTTCAGGTTTGCCATGAGGATTAGTGGAGAAAAAAAAATAAGTAAAAGCATCTTGCACTGCAGCCTACACTGAAAACCTGGTTCCTTCCCTCTCTCTTCTCAATCGCTGCATTTCTGTGAATGCCCCTTAGTATGCCACTTAGCCACTTACCCATGGGAGACCTGGAGGCCTCCCAGGGCTCCTCACTTAGAAGATGGAGTGGACCTGGGCAAGGGGTACAGAGATGTGCAACTAACCGGAGGCCACTGATGCTCCAGAAGAACCGAGGGTTCCTGAAGCTTATGGGACTCCAAAGGGGTCCTGGTCCGTGCCTCCCCACTTACCTGAGGGTGGTAGAATTTCCTGCTCTGGGCTGGCTTCTGGGAGAAGGCTCTCTTACCAGCAAACAAAGAAAACTCTCTCCCTATAGAAGGGGAAAAGCTGTTATTAATTCCTCTTGTCATGGGACAATGAAGATTGTAGCCCAGGAGCTTGAGACAGCCTCCTTTCTGGAGACAGTGACACCCACCAGATCTAGGGTCTCTCTGTTGACTCCACCTGCTGGGCAAGTTACCTAACCCTGGTCCTGTTAGACTGTGAACACTATCTCCCTCTAGGGTGAATGCACCAATTAAAGGAAATAATGTATGCACAGGGCCGGCGCGGTGGCTCACGCCTGTAATCCCAGCACTTTGGGAGGCCGAGGCGGGCGGATCACGAGGTCAGGAGATCGAGACCATCCTGGCTAACACGGTGAAACCCTGTCTCTACTAAAAAAAAAAATACAAAAAATCAGCCGGGCATGGTGGCGCGCGCCTGTAGTCCCAGCTACTCGGGAGGCTGAGGCAGGAGAATAGTGTGATCCTGGGAGGTGGAGCTTGCAGTGAGCCGAGATTGCGTCACTGCACTCCAGCCTGGGTGACATAATGAGACTCCGTCTCAAGAAAAAAAAGAAAAAAAAAGTATGCACAGCTCTGTGCATAGGGCAGACACTCAACCCACAGGAAAAAAAGGACTGGTTTCAGAAGAAAAACCAATTCAGAGCTCTGCAAAATTAAAATGCTTAAATGCTTAAGAAACAATCTATCAAACTCATAGCTGTTAAATTTAATATTCATTAAAATGTCATTAAACTCAAGCAATTTATGGGTTAGGTTTTTCTTCACTTTGAAAAAACTCCCTGAGTCGGCCGGGCATGGTGGCTCACGCCTATAATCCCAGCACTTTGGGAGGCCAAGGTGGGTGGATTGCTTGAGCTCAGGAGTTTGAGACCAGCCTGGGCAACATGGTGAAACCCTGTCTCACCCTGTATTTTTGTACTAAAAATACAAAAATTAGCTGGTGTGGTGGAGCATGCCTGTAATCCCAGCTACTTGGGAGGCTGAGGCTCAAGAATCGCTTGAACCTGGAAGGCAGAGGTTGCTGTGAGCCGAGATCACGCCACTGCACTCCAGCCTGGGTGACACAGAAAGACTCTGTCTCAAAAAAAAAAAAAAGAAAGAAAAGAAAAGAAAACAAGAAAAAAAAAAAAACTCCCTGAGTGTGCATGATGACTACAGGGAAATCGTATCTATGAAGGGATCAGGAAATGGAAATGCTTAGAGAGCTAACAGGTAAAAGTGTCTATGTCGGGAGGCTGAGGCAGGAGAATCGCTTGAACCTGGGAGGTGGAGGTTGCAGTGAGCTGAGATTGCGCCATTGCACTCCAGCCTGGGCGACAGAGCAAGACTCCAAAAAACCAAAAAGTGTCTGGCCCTGAATAAGTGCCAGCTTATAATTTCCAGCTAATAACCACCACCGTGCTCTGCTCTAAGGGTTTCAGGTATTCTATTACTTAGTGCCCTAAACCAGGGCTTCTCAAACTGGAACATGCTTCTAGATCACTGGAAGTCCTGATCAACTGCAGAGTCGGAGTCAGTTGATTTGGAGAGATGCTGATGCTGCAGGTCCTTGGACCAACACACCCTTCAAATCTCAGCTCAAACGCCACGTACTGACCTTCTCAAGGCTGGACTGGGTCCCCCTCCCGCTGTTGCCTTACCCCTCTGAATCCCCCCCACTGCAGTGCCCAATCCCCTGCAGGACAATTGTGTGGCCTGAGTTTCCCACTAGATCATGAAGAGGTGAGGTTGGAGGTGGAACTCTACTCCAGACCTAATTGAAGACTAGCTTCCTAAGACATGCCCACCAGGCATCAAGACAGTTTATCCATTCCCTAGCAATGACCAGACTTGGAATTTACCACCCCTTTTTCCAGAAATTTCTGAATAATCTGCCCCTTAATTTGCCTGTAATTAAAAGTGGGTTTAAATGAGCCTGCAGAACTGGCCCTGAGCTGTTCTTCTCAACACACTGCTTATGGGGTAGCCCTGCTCTGCAGAAGCAGTCAGAGAGCTGCAACAGTCAAGGTGAGCTGCTTTGTTCTACCACCAGCTCATCCTTGAATTCTTGAATTCCTTCCTGGAAAAAGCCATGAACCTTTCCAGGCAGAAGCCCCATTTCTGGGGCTCCTTGGCCCTGCAACAGAGGGACTGGGCTTGCCTCCACCACCATGTTCCCAGTGCTGAGCAGAGTGCCTGGCACCCAGAACTCATTATGGGTCTGCTGAGTGAAATAGAAAAGCTGACCTTGGACAAGTTGCTTCTCTGAGCTTTAGTTTCCTCATCCGTGAAGTGGATTTAGTGTGTACTTCAGCAGGTTGTCGTGAGGATTAAATAAAATGGGCTGGCCAGGCATGGTGGCTCACGTCTGTAATCCCAGCACTTTGGGAGGCCGAGGTGGGTAGATCATTTGAGGTCAGGAGTTCAAGACCAGCCTGGCCAACATGGCAAAACCCTGTCTCTACTAAAAATACAAAAATTAGCTGGGCGTGGTGGTGGGTGCCTGGGATCCCAGCTACTTGGGAGGATGAGGCAGGAGAATCACTTGAATCCGGGAGGTGGAGGTTGCAGTAAGCCGAGATCACACCACTGCACTCCAGCCTGGGTGACAGAGCAAGACTGTCTCAAAAAAAAAAAAAAAAAAAAAAAAAAGAGGCAGAGAGCCCAGCACAGTGCATGGCACACAGGTAGACACTCATTATCTGGCATCCACTATTCCAATACAAAATTCCATCCCCTGCCTCCCAACAATTATGTTGTACACTACAGTCCACAAGCACGAAGAATTTTGGTGGCTAATTTGGGGGTACCCGAGAGAGAACTTGACCTGAGGACATCAATGCTAAGGCCTCTCCTCCCTCAGTTAGATAGTGGTTGAGTATGGCAGTGGCAAAGAAGGCGGGAGGCTGTACCTGCTATCTTACCCTTTGTCAGTCTTCTTCTGTACAACATTAATTCTTCTCTGCGGAATCGCTCTGGGTCTAGTTCCGAGTAGTCCCAGCTGTCATAGCTCTGTGGGCTAGGATAGGTGCCTAAGGGAGGAGTCAAGAGTGAGAATGGGGCCGGGTGCGGTGGATCACGCCTGTAATCCCAGAACTTTGAGAAGCCAAGGTGGGAGGATTGCTTGAGCCCAGGAGACCAGCCTAGGCAACATAGTGGGACTCCGTCTCTATTTAAAAAGAAATTAAAAAAAGAGTGAAAATGGACGCTTCTGCAAAAGAGGCCTGGGGAGCCCCTGCTGGCTCCTGGGAGGCTGGGCTTCCAGTGTTAGCCCTGTCCCATGCTAGCCTTGTGGCCTTGGGTGAGTCACTTCCTCTCTAGAGGGCTTTGGCTTCTTCATCTGAAAAACGGGGATGATGACCCTGCCCTACGTGTCAGCTGGGTGTAAGGGTCACAACACACAGGTGTGTGAGTCCCTGACATGCTTTGCAAATGTGAAGACATCACAGTTATTTGTTTTCCATGTCCCCTGTTCTGGCTATACCATGAGTTCCCTGAGAACAGGGAGTGGGTCTTCTTCTTTATACCTCCAGAGCTCTAGATCTGGCACATAATAAATACAGTAGGTGCTTAGTAAATGTTTAACATGATCACACTTAGCTTAGTGCCAGAAATGGTTTCTCTTTACGTGTTTGACAGTGATGCTTCCAAGGATTACTTGAGACATTTGAGCCACTATGCAAAGCTGCTGGCTCCATTGGACAAAGTGGACAGGGGGTTTATTACTGGGGATAAATTGGGGTAAGAAGGTGTAGCCTTGGACGTTAAAGGGAACAGCAAGGTGCAACGGCAAGAAGAGAAGACAGTCAGAAAATGGGAGGCAGGGTGGCATAATGGTCAAAGACCCAGCTTTGGAGTGGCACAGCCCTGGAATCAACACTTGTTCAGTGCTCATGCCTGTAATTCCAGCACTTTGGGAGGCTGAGGCAGGTGGATCACCTGAGGTCAGGAGTTCGAGACCAGCCTGACCAACATGGTGAAACCCCATCTCTACTAAAAATACAAAAATTAGCCGGGCATGGTGGCATGCACCTGTAATCCCATCTACTCAGGAGGCTGAGGCTGGAGAATCACTTGCACCCTGGAGGCAGAGATCCTGCCATTGCCCTCCAGCATGGGCAATAAGAGCAAAACTCCATCTCAAAAAAAAAAAAAGATTAAATGGGTGTGCAGAAGAGTTAACACAGCAGGCCTGAGACTGCTATCCTTAGAAAGGCCTGCTTGCGAGGATGCCTTGGCTGGCCTCTGGGAACCTGGCTAGTAAACAGTTTCTTCCACTAATATAAAACTCTCTTAACGGAAGAAGAATGGCTCGTTGTGCCTATACTGTTGGTAGAAACTATGTGGCTTATGCTGAACACTGCCTTCCTGGAATTGTGGTACGTGACAGACAGAGGTGTCTATGTGACGATCCCAATGAAAACTTTGAGGACTCCAGCTCTAATGGGCTTCCCTGGGCAGAAGCAACACACACATGTTGCTAGATTTTCATTGTAGGGGGATGAGTGGGTTCTGTATGACTCCTTATGGGAGGGAGGGGCATAAGGAAGTCTGCGTATGGATTCCTCCAAACTCTACCTTTTTCCCTTATAATCCAGCTCTATTTCCTTACTACATTACTGTAATAAATCATAGCGAGACTACACTTAAACGCAGAGACCTATGAGTTCTTCTAGCAAATCTTCTAACATGGGGGTGATCTTAGGAAGCCCCAACACAATAGGAAATTTAAAAGTGCTTACTTAGCACAGCACCAGGTACACAGGAACCTTCCTATAAATGGTAGCTTTTAATGAACTTAGAAAATGTCAAGGTTGAGGTGGGGGAGGGGACTAGGAGGCGGTTGAAAAAGCAGACATCTGCCGGGTATGGTGGCTCACGCCTGTAATCCCAGCACTTTGGGAGGCCTTGTTGGGCGGATGACGAGGTCAGGAGATCAAGACCATCCTGGCTAACACAGTGAAACCCCGTCTCTACTAAAAATACAAAAAATTAGCTGGGCGTAGTGGTGGGCACCTATAGTCCCAGCTACTCGGGAGGCTGAGGCAGGAGAATGGCAAGAACCCGGAAGGCTGAGGTTGCAGTGAGCAGAGATTGTGCCACTGCACTCCAGCCTGGACGACAGAGCGAGATCCGTCTCAAAAAAAAAAAAAAAAGAAAGAAAGAAAAAGCAGGCATCAAGCTGGTCCTGTGTGTGCTGGAGGGAGAGAACCATGATTGGCCACTGGGGGGTCACATGGAGGGTAGAAGGGTGGGATGATCTAAACCCGCATACTGCTTTTGAGTCCCTGAGTCCTGGGTGCAGCAGCCCACAGCACATGGTTAACTAACAGGGCTGTGTTGAAACTTTGCTATCTTATTAGGATATGGCCCCTCACTCCCTGTAGATGTAGCTGAACACAAAAAGGGGATTAGGGGCCAGGCGCCATGGCTCATGCCTGTAATCCCAGCACTTTGGGAGGCCGAAGCAGGCGGATTATGAGGTCAGGAGGTTGAGACCAGCCTGACCAACATGGTGAAACCCTGTCTCTACTACAAATACAAAAATTAGCCGGGCATGGTGGTACATGCCTGTAATCCCAGTACTCAGGAGGCTGAGGCAGGAGAATCACTTGAACCTGGGAGGCGGAGGTTGCAGTGAGCCCAGATCGCACCATTGCACTCCAGCCTGGGTGACCGAGCGAGACTCTATCTCCAAAAAAAAAAAAAAAAAAAGGATTAGGAAGGGATGTCTCAGAACTGTTTTGAGGAAGCAGGAAAATTTGTATTCCTTGGGGCTCCAACCACATACTTTGCTCTCTTTAATGTTAAGGAGAGAAAAGAGAGAATGCCTTCATGAAGGGGTGTCATAGCAAACAATAACATACCTAGGTGCCAGCGGAAAACATTTTTCTAGAATCGCTTTCCCCGGTGGAAAAAAGTCACCTCTCACCTGAAATCCACAGGCTCATTGTGTTACAGATGTCAGACTTGAATTCGTGCGTGTCGAACCAGGACTGTGGAAAGCAGCAACAGAAGCTGGTGTACACGGCTTTGCTGAGAAGTGATGGCAGCCTCTGCGGAGCAAGCCGAGCTCAGGCAACGTTCTCAACATTTCCACCCGGCTTACATGATTTGGGGATGAGGAAGGACTTTCTTTTTTTATATATAGTTTTTGTTGTTGTTGTTGTTTAGAGACAAGGTTCTCACTGTGTTACCCAGGCTGGATTTGAACTCCTGGCTGAAGTGATCCTCTAATCCACTTGCCTCAGCCTTCTCGGTAGCTGGGAATAGAGGTGTGTACCACTGCACTTGGCTATACTCTTTAATTTACACAATCTAAGAAGTAAAATGGGGCCGGGTGCGGTGGCTCACGCCTGTAATCACAACGCTTTGGGAGGCCGAGGCGGGTGGATCACCTGAGGTCAGGAGTTTGAGACCAGCCTGGCCAACATGGTGAAACTGTGTCTCTACTAAAAATAAAAAAAATAAAAAAAAATAGCTGGGTGTGGTGGTGCATGCCTGTAATCCCATTTACCTGGGAGGCTGAGGCAGGAGAAGCACTTGAACCAGGAGGACAGAGGTTGCAGTGAGCTGCGACCGTGCACTCCAGCCTGGGCGACAGAGAGACTCTGTCTCAAAAAAAAAAAAAAAAAAAAAAAAAAATATATATATATATATATATATACACGTATATATATTCTATATATAGAGAGAGAAATTAGCTAGGTGTGGTGGTGCATGCCTGTAGTCCTAGCTACTCAGGAGGCTGAGGTAGGGGGATAGTTCAAGCCTAGGAATTTGAGGCTACAGTGAGTTATGATTGCACCACCCTGGCAGCAAAGCCAGACTCTGTTTCTAGAGAAAAGAAAACAAAGAAAGTCCTTCCTCATCCCTAAATCATGTAAGTATTCACTTATATTTTCTTCTAGCAATCCTTTTAGTATATATATACATACATATATACCTATATAAAAAGTATATATGTGTAGTCACATTTTAAATTTTAAAATTATATGCTTATTTAAATACTACAGAAAAATATAAAATGGAAAGGGAGGCCGGGCGCAGTGGCTCATGCCTGTAATCCCAGCACTTTGGGAGGCCGAGGCAGGCAGATCACTTGAAATCAGGAGTTTGAGACCAGCCTGGCCAACATGGTGAAACCCTGTCTCTACTAAAAACACAAAAATTAGCCGGGTGTGGTGGTACGCACCTGTAATCCCAGCTACTCGGAAGGCTGAGGCAGGAGAATTGCTTGAACCCAGGAATTGGAAGTTGCAGTGAGTCGAGATCATACTACTGCACTCCAGCCTGGGCGACAGAGTGAGACTCTGTCTCAAAATAAATAATAAAATGGAAAGGGAAAGTTTTTTTTTTGTTTGTTTGTTTTTTTGAGGCAGAGTCTCACTCTGTTGCCCAGGCTGTAGTGCAATGCTGCAATCTCGGTTCACTGCAACCTCCGCCTCCCGGGTTCATGTGAACCCTGCCTCAGCCTCCCGAGTAGCTGGGATTACAGGCAACTGCCACTCACTCCCAGCTAATTTTTGTATCTTTAGTAGAGACAGGGTTTTGCCATGTTGACCAGGCTGGTCTTAAACTCCTGACCTCAGGTGATCCGCCCGCCTTGGCCTCCCAAAGTGCTGGGATTACAGGTGTGAGCCACCATGCCCGGCTGGGAAAGTTTCTTATAACCTCACTTCCCAGTGATAAGCATTGCTAAGAGTTTGGTAAATATTTTTCCAGGTTTTTTTTTTCTATTCATAGGTATATATATCATATAGAGTTGTACAAATTGCTTTGTTTTTCACTTAAATATATCATTGCATCTCCCGATCAGTATAAATAGCTCTACTGTATTTTTGTAACTTCTGCATTGCAAGTCAGTGTATGGATTATGACAATTTACTAATTACTCCCTTATGTAAAGAATGTTTAAGACATTCTCTTGGCATCAGAAATGAACAGAAATCTAATGTGACTTTTTTTCTAGATAGTGGCTGATGCTCACTTTTAAGAGCGCCTCTTCAGAGTGGGACTTGGGTACACGAAACAAAAGTAAGGCATAGTGCTGGGCTATCCGGTCAAACAGATTATTCTGGAGCTCCTTGTTTGGCTGCCAGGAATAGAAATGAAAAAGGAATTACTAAAGTCCCTTGCTGAAACAACTGAGGGGCTGGGATTTTTAAATCAGTATTGTTTTCATTTCCAAGAATCTTATTCTCAAGATATTTAGCCTCATATGCTTTATGAAATAATGTGTTCATTTTTGGGGATAAGATGTACAAAGCACGTACACAGAGGCAGAGCGCTGTTGAAGACGGCACCCTAACACTGGCCCAGAAGTCCTGAGGTCTACTCTCAACCCTGCCTGTGACAGCTGTGCAACCAGCTCCTAAAGCCTGGGGGAGCCGCAGGGCATTGTGCAATGGCTGAAGCACAGGGTGTGTGGCTGAGGCATGGGACGGGAGGGGACTGGGTGACAGGGGAGGCTGTGGGGTGCTCCATGGGATCAGAGGGGCTTGTAGCTCATGTCAAAGAGAATGGAATTTGTTCTGTAGAAAAATAACTTAAGCAAGGCAGAGAAACAAGCAGATTTGTATTTACCTGGTACCTCTCATGAAATATCCACCAAAAGCTATCCAGCCAGATGGCTCTTGGAGAAGAAGAAGAGAGAAACTTCTCTAATTCTCTACCTGAACAGAAATGCTTGGAAAAAAAAATTCACAGTATTATTATTGTTGTTATCTTTTTAAAAATCCATCTGGAGTCAATGTATTTTAGAATGAACAGAAAAACCACCTAATCTGTTAGTGAGGCCCTACCCAGGTAATTTTACATACTCTCATTTAACCCCTATAATAGTCTTATGAGGAATACATCATTATCTCATAGATGAGGAAACCGAGGACCAAAGTGGCAAGTGGCTGAGCCAGGACTGGAACCCACAAATCTAGACTCTGGACAGCTGCTCCACACCAACTACCTCCAGCTCTCACCTCCTACACTCAGCCAACAGCAACTAATATCAACCAACGCAGTTAATGGGCAAACATAAACCACTGAACTATAAGATTCTGCTGAGTTAGCAGTAAGCATGTGGAATTCTAAAGTTAAAATGGAATTATCCGTGAGCTCAGAGCAGCAGAGATGTAGCTTCCGTTGTCATACAACTGGGTCTTCACCCTTGCCCTGGCTCCAAAGCTCCCACTATAATAATATAACATGTACCATTTAGTGAACACTTCCTGTATCTGCCCCAGGGCTAACACCTCCTCTCACTTTATTTTCCACAATCTATGTGGTAGGTAGTACAGTTATCCTACTGTATAGAAGAGGAAAGTAAGGACTGAAAGGTCAGCATTCTTGCCTGAGCTTACATGGGCCAGGAGGTTCCAAAGCGAGTAGCCTGGGCCCAGACTCACACACAGGTGCCTCTCCTTTACCATCAGGAAGCGTGCCTCTTCTTTACCATCACTCACACACAGGTGCCTCTCCTTTACCATCAGGAAGCGTGCCTCTTCTTTACCATCACTCACACACAGGTGCCTCTCCTTTACCATCAGGAAGCGTGCCTCTTCTTTACCATCACTCACACACAGGTGCCTCTCCTTTACCATCAGGAAGCGTGCCTCTTCTTTACCATCACTCACACACAGGTGCCTCTCCTTTACCATCAGGAAGCGTGCCTCTTCTTTACCATCCATCACTCACACACAGGTGCCTCTCCTTTACCATCAGGAAGCGTGCCTCTTCTTTAACCATCACTCACACACAGGTGCCTCTCCTTTACCATCAGGAAGCGTGCCTCTTCTTTGCCATCACTCACACACAGGTGCCTCTCCTTTACCATCAGGAAGCGTGCCTCTTCTTTAACCATCACTCACACACAGGTGCCTCTCCTTTACCATCAGGAAGCGTGCCTCTTCTTTACCCGCACTCACACACAGGTGCCTCTCCTTTACCATCAGCCATCTCTGGGATGCAGACGGAAAGACCCGGTGGCATTGCCCTGCAGCCTCCGCACAGGTAAGATCGACATGCATGGATAAACGAGCCTCATCCACTCGTAAGGAGCTCTCTGAGCCCCGCTCTTTGCTTTGTCTTTCTCACTTTTCCTCGTGTTTCTTCAGACTGGCAGTCTAGTGGAGTGATTAAGAGCACAGACTTGGGTGCCAGACTGCCTGGATTCAAATCCAGCTCTTTCACTTATTGGCTGTGTGACTTTGAGCAAAGTTACTGAACCCCTCTGTGCTCGATTCTTTCACAAAACACATGGAGATGGTCATGGTCCCCGCCTCAAGGACTGTTGTGGAGGTTCGATGAGTGGTTCCTATTAGGGCTTAGAACACTGCCAGGCATTCAGGAAACACTTGACAGGAGTATACTAGTTACTGATTGTTTATTCATTCACACTCCTCCCACCTTTCAAAAAGGATTTCATGTCAGCTCTTCAACAAATATTTATTGAGCACCTCCAGGTGCTCAAGATGATGCCATAGACTCCCTGCCCTCCAGGGTTTCACAGATAAAGAGACATTTACAACAGTGTGATAGGATCCCCGGGACAAGGCATCCCAGGGGGATGTGGAGCCCAGAGAGGGCATCTCATCTGCGCTTCAGGTCTCGGGACAGTGTTACGAGTAAAAATAACTGGATGGCCAGGCGCAGTGGCTCACGCCTGTAATCCCAACACTTTGGGAGGCCGAGGCAGGTGGATCACCTCAGGTCAGGAGTTCGAGACCAGTCTGGCCAACGTGGTGAAACCCTGTCTCTACTAAAAATACAAAAATTAGCCAGGTGTGGTGATGCGCATCTATAATCCCAGGCCCTTGAGAGGCTGAGGCAGGAGAATCGCTTGAACCTGGGAGGCGGAGGTTGCAGTGAGCCGAGATTGCACCACTCTACTCCAGCCTGGGCGACAGAGCGAGTGTCTTACTCAAAAAAACAAAACAAAACAAAAACTGGATGATGCAGCCATAAAAAAAGAATGATATCGTGTCCTTTGCAGCAACATAGATGGAGCTGGAGGCACTATCCTAAGTGATCTAACTCA
Source organism: Homo sapiens (assembly GCF_000001405.40). Lineage (NCBI taxonomy): Eukaryota > Metazoa > Chordata > Mammalia > Primates > Hominidae > Homo > Homo sapiens. The sequence continues at coordinate 38,631,283 of NC_000022.11, forward strand.
GAAACAGAAAACAAAATACTGCATGTTCTCACTTATAAGTGGGAGCTGAACACTGGGTACGCGTGGACATAAAGATGGAAACAATAGACACGGGGGACTCTCAAAAGGGGGAGGATGATGAGGACGAGGGTTGAAAAATAACTTGTCTGGTACAATGTTTGTTATTTGGGAAATGGGTTCACTAGAAGCCCAATCCTCACCAGTATGCAATATACTCATGTCACACACATGCACAGGTACCCTCGAGTCAAAAATAAAATATGATGTAAGAAAATAACTGCATGATGAAGGGAGAGCTGAGAGCTCCTCAGAGACGGGGAAAGCGTGTGCAGAGGCTATGGAAGCACTTGACACATGTGGGGTACTCCAAGGGGTTTCTGTGCAGTGGAAGCACTGGGTGCAGGTGGCGAAAGAGCAAGCAGGAGCCAGGCTATGAGGCGCCTGGTGCCGGGACTGGGAGCGGTTCTGAAACTGGACAGGGGGAGAAAAGGTACTGGTGCTGAGACATTTTCAACAGGGCAGAACACTGTGACATTGGTGTTCTAGAAAGATCCCTGGTGGCAGTGTACAAGACGCACTGGAGGGGATTAGAACTGCAAGGCAGACAGCGCTGGGCAGAAGACACAGTAACCCAGACAGGAAGTTGTGGTGCCTGAACTTGACAGTGGCCAGTGGGAAGGGGAGGAGACACAGGAAAGACGGTAGTTAAATCTTCCTAAGAGTGCGCAGAGGTAGAGATGAGGGTAAGGGAGGAGACTGGCTGATGCCCAGGTGGAAAGCTGTGTTTTCAACAAGACGGCGAGCCCTGGAGGAAAAGCAGAACGGATGGGTATGAGAGCCTGAGGGGCACTGAGGTTAGATAGAGGCAGAGGGATGGAGCGATATGGGAGTCTGCAGTGTAGTGAAGGCCTTGGAGGAAGTGACACAATTCTGAAGTAGTGATTGGTCTCATGTGGGAATATGATTGCTATGGTCTGAATGTGTTCCCCAAAGTTCATGTACTAGAAACTTAATCCCCAGTGCAACAGTGTTGGAAGCTGGGGCCTAAGAAGAGGTGACTGGGTTAGAGGGCTCCACCCTCATGAATGGATTAATGTGGTTATCTGGAGGTGGGTCAGTTACAAAAGCAATTTCAGTCCTTTCGCCCCCTCTCTTCCATCTTCTACCATGGGATAACACAGCACGAAGGCCCTCACCAGATGTGGCCCCTTGATCTTGAACCTGCCAGCCTCCAGAACTGAAAGAAATAAATCTCTGTTCTTTATAAATTACCAGTCTCAGATATTCTGTGATAGCAGCACAAAGAGACTAAGACAATGACCAAGGTCCACCTGCCCCCTAGGGTTTGTGCAGAGAGAGACGACAGAGAGTAGAAGGGAGGGGTCCCAAAGAACATGGGTGATAAAGGGGCCTGGGACACCAAGATAGTGCTGTTTGCATAGAGGGAGAATGACCCACCAAAACCAAAGGGGAAAGAACTTCAAAATGCAGGGAGTTGTCCTCTGGGTCAGTTCTACCAGAGGTCATCTAATAACAACAGAAACACAGTCTTTAGATTCGACAAGGTGAAAGCTAATGATTGACTCGGGACACTTTCAGCAGTGGGTGAGGGTGGGAACCCAGGCCACAGCTGGATGAAGAGAATGGAGATGAGAACATGAAGCCAGCATATGTGGACAGCTCCTCCAAGAAGTCCCAGGCGAGGGCTGGTGCGGAGCTGAGAAGGCACTCCCAGATGGGGCAAGGTGGGAAAGGCTTTTGTCCTTGTGGAGCTCAGGGTTGCTGGCAGCCCCCAGACTCTCTAAAGCAGAGGCACAGCTGATGCCAAGAGTGAGGGGAGGTAACGGAGGAGAGGATTTGAGGAGGTGAGTGAAAGTTTGACATGGCCCCTAAGCAGAGTAGAAGAAGGTCCTTTCGAAGACGGGGCACAAATTTGCTTTGAGTTTCCTGGGAGCCAAAGAAAAGCAAGAAACAGTATCAGCTGTAAGGCTGAAACCATTCCGGGAGTTGCACAGTTTTATTTGTAGTAAGTCTGAAGGAAAACGTTCCTCATAGGACCTCAAAAATGGGGCATTAAATAACATAGCAGTCTGTCCTTGGGGGCTTTCCACCCCGCAAATGAATTGTGAACACTCAGGCTGTGCCCAGGCAGTCTGTCAAGGCAAACTGTGCAGGAACAGCGGGTCCAAGAAGCACAACTCCATGTGCTTCTTACAGACAATTTGAAAATAGAAGAAGTAAAAGGAAGAAAACAACTATAATATTTTTTTGTTTGTTTGAGATGGAGTCTCACTATATCCCCAGACTGGAGTGCAGTAGTGCCATCTTGGCTCACTGCAACCTCCACCTCCCGGGTTCAAGCAATTCTCCTGCCTCAGCCTCCTGAGTAGCTGGGATTACAGGTGTGTGTCACCACGCCTGGCTAATTTTTGTATTTTTAGTAGAGACAGGGTTTCACCACATTGGCCAGGGTGGTCTTGATCTCCTGATCTCGTGATCCAACCACCTTTGCCTCCCAAAGTGCTGGGATTACAGGCGTAAGCCACTGTGCCCGGCCTATCATCTTATAACCTTGTAACTCAGAGACCAGTGGTAATATCTATGTATTTCATTTAAAATTTTCCCACGTGTGCACTTACATAGATTGAATTATTGGCCAGGTGTGGTGGCTCACACCTGTGATCCCAGCACTTTGGGAGGCGGAGGCAGGTGGACCACTTGAGGTCAGGAGTTCAAGACCAGCTTGGCAAACATGGGGAAACCCTGTCTCTACTAAAAATACAAAAAATTAGCCAGGCATGGTGGCTGCATATCTGTAGTCCCAGCTACTCAGGGAGGCTGAGACAGGAGAAGTGCTCGAACCCAGGAAGGGGAGGTTGCAGTGAGCTGAGACTGTGCAACAGCACTCCAGCCTGGGAGACAGAGCAAGACTCTGTCTCAAAAAAAAAAAAAAAAAAAAAAGATTGAATTGTAGAGAGTTTTCCATACTGATACTTTTCATTCAACAACACAGCATGAAATGTTAACATACACTCTTTATAAACATTCACTTTTATCATCACATTTTATCATGGCTACACAGTCCATGATATAGATGTCAAAAATGACCATGCTGTTCCTCTATTATTGACCATTAAACTGTTTCTAATAACACTAATCATACAAACTACCGTTTTCTTAGAATTTATGACTTTTAGCACTGTGCTAGGCACCTTTACATGCATTATCTTATTTATTTCACAATAACACCTCAAGGTAGAGACTGATTTTATCTCCATTTTACAGGAGAAGAAATTAAAGCTCAGAGAGGCGCTTAACCACCCAGATGTACTGCTTTCCACTTCCTTGCTATTGTAACGAACACTGTGGTGAGCATCTTTGTACACTGTCCTGTAGGGAACGTGATGCTCTGAGCACCTGTCCCTCCTACTGCCTCTCCCGAGGAAAGCAGGAGCAAAGGGAATCAGGTACCCAACACCTGGGCCACCGCTGCCAGGCCCAGAGACCAGCGCCCCTTCCACTGACTGACTGCAGGCCATGCCAGCAAACAGCACTGTCATTCTGGGCAGTGACTGGCCCAAACAGATCATCTCTCTTAGGAAGTCCGAATGTAAGAAACAGATGGGACCGACATAGCCCAGAGAGAAGGCAGCAGGAAGAAGCCATGAAGAAGAGAGGAGGGGGTCGGGCGCAGTGGCTCACACCTGTAATCCCAGCACTTTGGGAGGCTGAGGCGGGCGGATCACAAGGTCAGGAGATCGAGAACAGCCTGGCCAACAGTGAAACCCCCGTTTCTAATAAAAATACAAATATTAGCTGGGTGTGGTGGCACATGCCTGTAATCTCAGGCAGGGGAATCGCCTGAATCAGGGAGCGGAGCTTGCAGTGAGCTGAGATCGCGCCACTGCACTCTGTCCAGCCTGGCGACAGAGCGAGACTCTGTCTCAAAAAAAAAAAAAAAAAAAAAGGAAGGAAGGGCATGGGGAGAAGGAGAGGGAGACAGAGATAGAGAGATGGGGTGTGGCTCAAAGCAGCAGTGAGAACTACAGGTAGAACAGACTGAGATGCTGGGTCTCAGGAATGGTGGGGTGACTGGTTAGGAGCTCAGGGGACAATGATCAGAGCTGCTTTGGGGACAAGAGTTATGTGATGAAGAGCCATGAGGCACAGCTGTACAGTGGCCGAGACCATTTCCTGGGCTTCCTCCCTTCTCCAAGACCTCCCTACAAGGATCTCCCATCTCCAGAGTTGCCAGTGTTTGTGTCGCCTGAGCAAACAGGTTCCTCTGGGCCTTAGAATACTTCCTTGCTTTCTTCCCAAGGAACCCAGCATGCTCTAGTGCGCAGCTCTGCAAGGAAGCATACTCACCCCCAGAGGCATGAGAAGAAAATATTCTAACTAATGTCTACATAAGAAAGAAAAGCAATTGGCTGGGCATAGTGGTTCACACCTGTAATCCCAGCACTTTGGGAGGCCGAGGATGGGGAGGGGAAGATGGCTTGAGCCCTGGAGTTGGAGAATAGCCTGGGCAACCTAGCAAGACCTCCTCTCTACAAAAAAATTTTTTTAAAAACTAGCCAGTGTGGTGGTGCATGCTATTCAGGAGGTTGAGGCGGGAGGATCACCTGAGTCTGGGAGTTTGAGGCTGCAGTGAGCTATGATAGTGCCACTGCATTCCAGCCTGGGTACAGAGGGAGACCCTGTCTCAAAAAAGTAAGAAAAAAGAAAAAGAAGGAAAGAAAGAAGAGAGAAAGAGAAAGAGAGAGAAAGAAGGAAAGAAAGAAAGAAAAAAGAAAGGAAGGAAGGAGGGAGGGAAGAAGGAAACAGAAAAGAAAAGAAAAAAGAGAGATTAAGCATACTCATATGCATTGTAGTGATTGGCAACAGAATAAGTATATAATTTATAAACAGACACGTTTCAATGAGGGTTTGTGATAAAAATTGCACACCAGTAGGATATGTGATCAAAACAGTCTGAAGACCGTTGCTCTGGTAGAAGGAATCTAGGTTTTGCAGTGAGGTTGGGCTAGGGTTCCTAGCTCAGCTCAGACACCTGCAAGCCTGTGGCCCTAGGTGAGTTCCTCAGTTTCTCCTGGGGTGTGAAAGGGTGACAGCTGCATTTGCCCCATGGGTTGGCAAACTCAGGGCAGGCACTGCTTTTTCCTCACCTTGCCACTAAGGCAGTCTCTCTCAGCCCGGACCACGTTGCCCACCATGTCACAGAAGTCCACGCCATTCGGAAGCTTGTTTGGCTTGGAGCTGTTGAAGTTGGAATACTGGTACAGCTCTGCCAGCAGATTTTTATCTGCTGTTTTCTGAAGCAAAAGAGCAGAATATGAAAATGGGGTTCACATTTTGACAGTGTGAAACAATAGGCTAGCTTCCCCTCTTTATTATGAAGACAATATAACAACCTTATAGAATGTTGAGAAAATGAGGGGTGTTTAGGATCCTAGGACCCCTTCCAAACTCCTATCTACATTATTTCTTTTTTTTTTTTTTTTTTGAGACGAAATTTCACTCTTGTTGTCCAGGCTGGAGTGCAATGGTATGATCTCGACTCACTGCAACCTCTGCCTCCTGGTTCAAGCAATTCTCCTGCCTCAGCCTCCTGAGTAGCTGGGATTACAGGTGCCCGCCACCATGCCCAGCTAATTTTTTGTATTTTTGGTAGAGACAGGGTTTCTACTAAAAACTGTTGGCCAGGCTGGTCTTGAACTCTTGACATCAGGTGATCCACCTGCCTCAGCCTCCTAAAGTGCTATCTACATTATTTCTGTTTTCCCTTATATGATTTGAGGAAATGTACACGAACACAAATACGTAACTTCAATCGTAATATGATTTATATATGATTCGTCTGGCTGACTTTGATCGTTCTAAGAAGTAAAATATATATGTGATTTTTATGTCCTGCTTTATCTACTTCACTTTAGATTTTCATGTAGTTATGTTGTCTTCAGAATTATCATTTAAGATGATATATCCTGTTAAGACGTGCTATAATTTAATTAACTACTCACTGATTACTTCCAATTACTACTAATATCACGAATAGCTTGGAGCATGTAGTTCCCCTCCCTTTGGGGTTATTTAGTGTGAATTTCTTAAAATGCTAATATTGGATATTACTATCTTTGTGGTTAATATATATCATTAAATGATTTTTAGGATAAAACTAAAACATGATGACTATAAAAAATGTAAAAATATGGAAAATAGGAAACTAATTACCGCCACCCAAAGGTGCCCACTGAAACACCTGGATGGCCCAGCTGACTTCCTAACTGGGCTCTGGCCATGGTCAATGAAAGAACAGTTCATGATTCACGGCACTGACTCTGAGTTAGATGACTGCAGTCAGGTGGCAGCTCCGCCATGTGCTGGCTGTGCCACCTTTGCAGGACACTTAGCTCAGCCACCATCAATGGATTGTATGACAGTTCCAATGCAGACCCACACCTCCCTTAGGCCTTGTGCTGTTTTGGAATTTCCTAGGCTAAAAGGTGTTAAGAAGGATAAGAACAACATACTGTTTCAGATTCCCTAGCAGTTAAAGGTTTGGATACTTAAGACCTAGGCAGTGTAAAGAACAAGCTAAGGGCTGGGCACGGTGGCTCACACCTGTAATCCCAGCACTTTGGGAGGCTGAGATGGACAGATCACTTGAGGTCAAGAGTTCGAGACCAGCCTAGCCAACATGGTGAAACCCCATCTCTACCAAAAATGCAAATTTAGCCAGGTGTGGTGGTGCATGTCTTAATCCCAGCTACTTGGGAGGCTAAGACAGGAGAATCACTTGAACCCTGGGGGCGGAGGTTGCAGTAAGCTGAGATCGTGCCACTGCACTCCAGCCTGGGTGACAGAGAGAGACCCCATCTCAAAAAGAAAAAAAGAAATAAAGAACAAGCCAAGGAGGATCTGAAATGGGGGGCTGTGCGGTGGGGCCAGATTGCTGCAGGGGAGGCAGTGGGGAGAGCCTGTCTCAAGTCAGAGGACTGAGCAGGAAGTGGGGCCTGCCATCAGTGAGCTGCATGACCCTGTGACAAGTCACCTTCTGCTCCTGAATCTCAGCTTCCTGAGGCATCCGCAGCAACTCTGCAGTGGTACAACTAGCATGGGGTGTGACTCAGAGCAGCTGCACAGGAGCCTGCAGTGTGGACAGCCCCTTGAAGCTGCATGGCACAGTGGCTCTGGATTAGACCTGAACATCTCTGAGCAGAGACACCTTCTAAGTTCTAAAAATAAACAGACACATGACCTCTGTCACCTTCCCTATTCTGAGGCTGGGGTCAGCTCTGCTGTTGTAAGGGTGTTATGAGAAATTCTAGATTCAGGAGCTCTGCGATTTTTCCTTCATAATCACTACCCAGGCACCAAGTATTCTCCTCCCCAGGAATAAAATCTTTATTTCATGCCTAGCAGAAGCCGGTCAGAAACAGACACAGCAGTAGATCCCTTACCCTTTTTATAACAGAAGATCTGGCATGTCTGAGTTCGGAGCCTTTGCAGGAATACTGAGATTTCCTTTGTCTCTTGACTGCAGAAAAATGGAGAAAGAGATAAATGAGTAACCACAGGGTCTGTCCACAGCTGTGCGGTGCTTACAACTGTGCTTTTTCATTCCACTTGAGCTGCCAGAGGACACTCCTACTACTAGTCTCATAGGTCCCAACTGTGTTGCCGACTTATCTGATTAGACCACTTGATCCAGAGAAGCAGCAAGGAGGAGCAGACAGACTGTGACTTTAGGTAAGTTACTCCCCTCCCTCCAAGGCTGTTTCCTCATCTATAAAATATATTAAATGGTACCTACTTCCCAGGTGTTATAAAAATTTAACAAGGGGCCGGGCACAGTGGCTCACACCTGTAATCCCAGCACTTTGGGAGGCTGAGGCAGGCGGATCACTTGAGGCCAGGAGTTCAAGAACAGCCTGGCCAACATGGTAAAACCCCATCTCTACTAAAATACAAAAATTAGCCAGGCACGGTGGCGAGCCCCTGTAATCCCAGCTACTCAGGAGGCTGAGGCAGGAGAATTGCTTGAACCCGGGAGGCGGAGGTTGCAGTGAGCAGAGATTACGCCACTGCACTCCAGCCTGGGAGACAGAGCGAGACTCCGTCTCGAAAAAAAAAAAAAAAAACCAAGGGAATGTGGATAAAAGCACCTGGTGCCACATGTAGGTGGTCTCTAAATGGTACTGCCCCTCCCTCCTTCCTTGCCCAATGTCAAGAAGTCAGATTTAAGGCTCCTTCAGAAGAAGACAGAAACATCCTCATCTGAAACTTGGGATTCCTACTCAGTTGCATTTTAGATACTAAAAAAACAAACCCCATGAAAAGAGCATCAAGGCTGAGGGAAAGGTTTTTGCCTTTGTCTTCTGGACTGCTGCGAGTTTTCTCTCTTAAAGCCTTCTTCTCCAACTCAAATCTCTCAATTGCCTTCAAAAACCAAGAAAAAGGGGGGCATTAGGGATTAATGCAAATCCTGGAGAAGGGTGGGGTTAGGGTCTAGGCGTTTCCTCTTGTTGGTGCACAAAAGACCTGGAGCAAAGTTTGTGGACAGTGCCTTGTCTTTCCAGGTGGTAGGTCCTGGTGGCCTCAGTGTCACTGACATCATCCCCCAGAGTGTCCCCACTGTCTCACACTGCCCCTTCTTCTAGGAGTATGTGATTTAGAGCAGGAATTAGAAATTAAACAAGCTATTGTTTAATCTCTTTGTAAAAGGGGGATAATAATATCTATCTTCCAGGGTTCTTTTTTTTTTTTGAGACGGAGTCTCGCTCTGTTGCCCAGGCTGGAATGCAGTGGTGCAATCTCGGCTCACTGCAAGCTCCGCCTCCTGGGTTCACCCCATTCTCCTGCCTCAGCCTCCCGAGTAGCTGGGACTACAGGCGCCTGCCACCACGCCCGGCTAATTTTTTGTATTTTTAGTAGAGATGGGGTTTCACCGTGTTAGCCAGGATGGTCTTGATCTCCTGACCTCCTCATCTGCCCACCTCGGCCTCCCAAAGTGCTGGGATTACAGGTGTGAGCCACCACGTCCAGCCTCTTCTAGGGTTCTTATAAGGGTCAAAAATAAAGTGTTTAATGTATTTTAAAACACTGGCAAAGAGGCTACCAGATAGGAGCTGTTCAATAAGGGGTCTCTATTATCTACCCTTGACCTCTCAAGAGAGACTTCTCTTGATCTCTGACTCTTCCCCACCCCCATCCTCCTACGCCCCTGAAAAGGAAGACAGAAAAATGAATGCTAGTGACCCAAGTTGCATTGATTGTCAACCAAGAGTCCAGCAATGAGCTTGGATAACAAAGTTAACAAACAAGTATGAGTCTGTGTTTTTGCCCTCAAGGGACTTACACTCTATTTGGAGAGCCAAATCAGCACTCGTGGAACAATTAAATGCTAAACTGCTGTGATTACGAATCAAAGTGAGGTCAACGTGGGCCAGAGCAGTCACAGAGGACTGTCCAGAAGAGGTGGACATGAGTGTTGGTGGCATCAGGCTCCTGAGCTTGATAAACTGGGAAATACCTCTCCAGGCCTCCCCCATCTTTCCCTTGCATCAGCACTCCCTGGTCTGCATGAGTGAAAGGTACTGGGCATGTGTGCAGGGGTGTGTGTATGTGTGTGTGCCAGTGGTGGGGGGGCGGTCACAGGGGTTAGTCTATGTATTAACATTGTTGCTCCAATTAAGTAAGCTGAAATTTAAGGCATGAGGAATGAATTGGATGGGTATGAGTCACTGTAGCAATATAGCAATATCTCTGATCTTTACCAATGTCATTATAGCAGACACTGTATGGCCTGGAAGGATGGATAAGATTTGCACAGAAAGAGGGGAGAGAAAGGATAGTTGAATGCTGAAAGAAGAGCAAGTTTTGGGGGGAAAGATGGTAAGACCAGCACTGGGCTGAGTTTACCTTTGAGATGACTTCAGGGCCTACAAGCAGGGCTGTTCTCCAGGAAGGCAACTCCCAAACCGGACCAATGACCGGCATTTTGGGGAAGTATTCAAATACACAGATTCCCGGGCCTTTGCATTAGAGATGCTTATTTCCTGGGTCTGCATTGGGTCCTGAATTTTTTATGCATTTATAGTGGCTCCTGAATAAAAAATTAGCCGGGCGTGGTGGCACGTGCCTATAATCCCACTACTTGGGAGGCTGAGGCAGGAGAATTGCTTGAACTTGGGAGGCGGAGGTTGCAGTGAGCTGAGATCGCACCATTGCACTCCAGCCTGGGCGACAAGAGTGAAACTCCATCTCAAAAAAAAAAAAAAAAACAAAACAAAGAGAGAAAAACCTGCAGGCGAACTTGCCTGCAGCTCACAGGATCTCTCAAAGAGTACATCTTCATCATTGTAATCCTCTGCCTCATAGCCACCATCGAGAAGCAGGTCTTTAGTAGCGACTTGTTGGTTGACATTTCTTTGCTGCTCTCATTTTCAAATCTCTCTATCTCCATATCTTAGAGCTCTTTAGATTTATGCCTCAGATTTCTTAAGTGCAGTTAAAAATAAGAAACAAATACACGACATTGCCAAAACCCAAAATAGCCAAAAAGACACTTACAGATGATTCACGCCTGTGTTCTTCCATCTTGTGGGAGCCTGCTACACAACAGCTACTTGCTTAACATTTAGCACTCCTGCCTCCCGAAAAGGTGTGTGTGTGTGTGTGTGTGTGTGTGCGCACGTGTGTGTGCGCGTGTGTTTGAGAATTATTGAAGGGTTTGTATTTTTTCCCAATAAAAATGTACCAAAATTAACCTTCAGACTTCTCATTTCAGGTCCACATGTAAGGATCTCATAAGTCACCATTCTGTCCCAATAATAAGTAAAGCTGAATAAACTGAAAAATCAACAACTCTTCTTAGATCATTCAGAGAAGTGAGGTCACAGGGCAAACTACTGCCTGAAAACTGAACAGACAGGTAGGTAGATACAGAGAATGCCAACTGGCAGGAGAATAAACCCATGGGCAGAAACCTCCATGGGAACCAGTAGCAAAGCCAAAACTGTCATAAATGAATTCTGGAGGCTCAGTGTAGACACCCTGAGAGGTAAAAACTCCAGCCATCACAAAAATGAACTCAAAATGAATCAAAATCAAATGTAAACATAAAACTATAAAACCCCTAGAAGACAAGAGGAGAACACCTAGGTGACCTTGGGTTTGGCCATGACTTTTTAGATATGACACAGAAGGTACAATCCATGAAGGAAATGATAAGTTAGATTTCGTTAAAATTAAAAATTTCTGCTCTGTGAAAAGACACTGTCAAGAGAATGAAGTGACAAGTCACATATTAGGAGAAAATATTTGCAAGAAAATCCAACAAAAGGCTGTTACCCAAAATATTCAAAGAGGCCGGGCGTGGTGGCTCACGCCTGTAATCCCAGCACTTTGGGAGGCCAAGGTGAGCGGATCACTTGAGGTCGGGAGTTTGAGACCAGCCTGGCCAACATGGTGAAACCCTGTCTCTACTAAAAATACAAAAATTAATTGGGCGTGGTGCCACATGTCTGTAATCCCAGCTATTAGGGAGGCTGAGGCAGGAGAATCGTTTGAACCCAGGAGGTGGAGGTTGCAGTGAGTCCAGATTGCACCACTGCACTCTAGCCTGGGTGACAGAGTGAGACTCCGTCTCAAAAAAACAAAAACAAAAAAACAACCCAAAACAAAATATTAAACGAAATCTTAAAACTCAACAATAAGAAAATAACCTGATTTAAAAATGGGCTAAAGGTTGGGCATGGTGGCTCACGCCTGTAATCTCAGCACTTTGGGAGGCCGAGGCGGGTGGAACACCTGAGGTCAGGAGGTCGAGACCAGCCTAGCCAACATGGTGAAACCCAGTCTCTACTAAAAATACAAAAAATGAGACGGGAGTGGTGGTGGGTGCCTGTAATCCCAGCTACTCAGGAGGCCGAGGCAGGAGAATCACTTGAACCTGGGAGGTAGAGGTTGCAGTGAGCCAAGATCACGCCACTGCACTCCTGCCCGGGTGACAGAGCAAGATTCTGTCTCAAAAAAAAAAAAATAGTGGGTGGGGGTTGGCGCTAAAGGTTGAACAGACACCTCAACAAGGAAGATCTGCAGACTATAAATAAGCACATAAAAAGACGGATGTCCCTGGGGAAATGAAAACTAAAACAGCAATGGGATACCACTACGCAGCAATCAGAATGACCAAAATCTAGAACACTGACAACACCAAATACTGGTGAGAACGTGGAGCCGCAAGAACCCTCATCCACTGCGGGTGGGAAGGAAAAATGTTAACACCACTTTGGAAGAGCGTTTGCCGGTTTCTTACAAAACTAAACTCTCACCATAGGATCTAGCAATTGTGCTCCCTGGTATTTACTTACATGAAGTGAAAACTTATGCCCACACAAAGACCTGGACATGGATGCTTACAGCAGTTTTATCTGTAATTGCCAAAACTTGGAGGCAACCAAGATGTCCCTGAGTAGTGGACAAATAAACCATGGTACGTTCAGACAATGGAATATTTGGCACTAAAAAGAAATGAACTATCAAGCCATGAAAAGATGGGTTGTTCCCAGAGGGAACTGGCCAGGCGCAGTGGCTCACGCCTGTAATCCCAGCACTTTCGGAGGCTGAGGCGGGCGGATCACGAGGTCAGGAGATCGAGACCACCCTGGCTAACATGGTGAAACCCCGTCTCTACTAAAAATACAAAAAATTAGCCTGGCGTGGTGGCGGGCGCCTGTAGTTCCAGCTATCGGGAGGCTGAGGCAGGAGAATGGTGTGAACCCGGGAGGCAGAGCTTGCAGTGAGCCGAGATCACGCCACTGCACTCCAGCCTGGACGAGAGTGTGAGACTCCATCTCAAAAAAAAAAAAAAAAAAAAAAAGATGTGGAGGAAACTAAAAAGCATACTAAGTGAAAGAAGCCAACGTAAAAAGGCTACGTACTATATGATTCCAACTATATGGCATTATGGGAAAGGTAAAACTGGGGAGAGTAAAAACAACAGTGGTTCCCAGGGGTTAGGGAGTAAAAAGAGGTGAACAGGTGGAGCACAGAGGACTGTTGGGACAGCGAAACTATGCTGTGTGACACTACAATGGTAGATACATGTCATTAAAGAGGTGAACAGGTGGAGCACAGAGGACTGTTGGGACAGCGAAACTATGCTGTGTGACACTACAATGGTAGATACATGTCATTAAAGAGGTGAACAGGTGGAGCACAGAGGACTGTTGGGACAGCGAAACTATGCTGTGTGACACTACAATGGTAGATACATGTCATCATTTGTCCAAATTCGTAGAATGTACAACACCAAGAATCCTATTGTAAACTCTGAATGTCGAGTGATGATGATGTAACAATGTAGGTCCGTTAATTCTAACTAATGTGCCACTATCTTATGGAATGTCAACAGTGGGGGAGATTGTGCATGCGCAGGAGCAGAGGGTGTATGAAAAAAGTGTACTCTCTGCTCGATTTCGCTGTGAACTTATAATTGCTCTAAAAAATAAAGTTTAGGCCGGGCGTGGTGGCTCACGCCTGTAATCCCAGCACTTTGAGAGACTGAGGTGGGTGGATCACTTGAGGTGGGGAGTTTGAGACCAGCCTGACCAACATGGTGGAACCCTTTCTCTACCAAAAATACAAAAAATTAGCCGGGTATGGTGGCACACGGCTGTAGTCCCAGCTACTCGGGAGGCTGAGGCAGGAAAATCACTTGAAAGGGAGGCGGAGGTTGCAGTGAGCCAACATCGCACCACTGCACTCCAGTCTGGCGACAGAGCAAGTCTCTGTCTCAAAAATAAATAAATAAAGTTTATTGGCCGGGCGCGGTGGCTCACGCCTGTAATCCTAGCACTTTGGGAGGCCAAGGCGGGCAGATCACGAAGTCAAGAGAGCGAGCCCATCCTGGCCAACATGGTGAAACCCCGTCTCTACTAAAAAATACAAAAATTAGCTGGGCATGGTGGCACGCACCTGTAGTCCCAGCTGCTCGGGAGGCTGAGGCAGGAGAATCGCTTGAACCCAAGAGACAGAGGTTGCAGTGAACCGAGATTGTGCCACTGCACTCTAGCCTAGCAACAAAGCGAGACTCCATCTCAAAAAAAAATAAAAAATGTTTATTAATTTTTAAAAAAATTAACTTTGAATACTCAATTGTGTAAACATGTTTTCAAATAAATGGAGAGGCCCCAGGGCACTGCAACACCTTGATGATCCCCGGGGCCCTTCCCTGTCAGAAGCTTTGTCTCAGCTCCAGCATAGGTAACTCACCAGGCTGTTGGCCGACGGCTCGGTACGCAGATTTATGTCAGCAATCTTTTGGTTCACCTGGTGCATGGAGCCAATAAGGCATGCTGGGAGGTTAGTCTGCTAAGGAAACTCAGGGTGATGATTACACACACAACAGGATGGGGCTTGTCTGGTGAGAAGGGCAGCCCCTGTCTGCACAGCCTCTCTCCTTAATTATTTTCTTTGCATTCAGAGTTTTCACATTTCTTTCTTCCTTTTTTCTGAGACAGGGCCACGCTTTGTTGCCCATGCTGGAGTGCAGTGATGCAATCATGGGTCACTGCAGCAGACCTCCCGGGCTCAATCGATCCTCCCACCTCAGCCTCCCAAGTAGCTGGGACTACTGGCGCACACCACCACCCCTGGCCTATTTTTAAAATTTCTTGTAGAGATGCAGTTTCGCCATGTTTCCCAGGCTGATCTCAAACTCCTGGGCTCAAGTGATCCACTCACCTCAGCCTCCCAAAGTGCTCAGATCACAGGCATGAGCCACCGCACCTAGCCCATATTTCTTTATCTTGTTTTAAATGAGATACTTTGCAAATTATAAATGAGAGTTGACCATATTATAGACACCTTGGAACATATAAAAAGTGAAAAAGAGCCATCCATAATGCCACCACCCTAACAACTCTGTTAGGACTTGGGAATTTTCCTTCCAGTATTTCTTTTTTTTTTTTTTTTTTTTTTTTTTTTTGAGACGGAGTCTCGCTCTGTCGCCCAGGCTGGAGTGCAGTGGCGGGATCTCGGCTCACTGCAAGCTCCGCCTCCCGGGTTCACGCCATTCTCCTGCCTCAGCCTCCCAAGTAGCTGGGACTACAGGCGCCCGCCACTACGCCCGGCTAATTTTTTTTTGTATTTTTAGTAGAGACGGGGTTTCACCGTTTTAGCTGGGATGGTCTCGATCTCCTGACCTCGTGATCCGCCCGCCTCGGCCTCCCAAAGTGCTGGGATTACAGGCGTGAGCCACCGCGCCCGGCCCAGTATTTCTTACATACATATTTTTGTCTGTATTTACAATCTGAGTGTACGCCTGTTTTACTACTCTGATTTCTCTTCCAGTCATTATTATTATTATTTTTTTTTTTGAGATGGAGTCTCACTCGCCCGGCCACTCTTCCATTCATTATTATGAGCATTTTTCCCTTTGGCTAAAGGAGCTTCATGATAATCATTTTAAATGACATTATACTAATCCATGTAGAAGATACACCTTAATATACTTAACTGTTCCTTGGATATTGAAATTTTAAGTTATTTATACTTTTTGGCAATTATAAATAATGCTGGCTGGGCACGGTGGCTCACTCCTGTAATCCCAGCACTTTGGGAGGCTGAGGCGGGCAGATCACGATGTTAGGAGTTTGAGACCAGCCTGGCCAGCATAGTGAAACCCCGTCTCTACTAAAAATACAAAAAATTAGCTGGGCGTGGTGGCGGGTGCCTGTAATCCCAGCTACTTGGGAGGCTCAGGCAGGAGAATCGCTTGAACCAGGAGGTGGAAGTTGCAGTGAGCCAAGATCGTGCCACGGCACTCCAGCCCGTGCGATGGTGCGAGACTCCATCTCAAAAATAAATAAAATAAAACAAAACAATGCTGTGTGCCAGGCACGGTGGCTCACGCCTGTAATCTCAGCCCTTTGGGAGGCTGAGGCAGGTGGATCACTTGAGGTCAGGAGTTCGAGACTAGCCTGGCCAACATGGTGAAATCCCGTCTCTACTAAAAATACAAAAATTAGCAGGGCATGGTGGCAGACGCCTATAGTCCCAGCTACTTGAGCGCTGAGGCAGGAGAATCTCTTGAACCCAGGAGGCGGACGTTGCAGTGAGCTGAGATTGCGCCACTGCACTCCAGCCTGAGTGACAAAAAAAAACAAAACAACGAAACAACAAAAAAAAGAAAAATAAATAATGCTGTGATGCATGTGTGATGTCACAGAGAGCTGTTTCCATATTTTAGAGTATTTCTTTATGAGAGATTTTCAGGGGACAGATGACGGCGTCAAAGGGTATCTCAACCTTGTTTATCACTTAAAATCTGTTCAGTTCTATGGCCCCTCTTCCTACCCTCTCAGCTTTTATATTTCTTTCTGTCTTAGCCTCAATTGATCTAGGATATATCCTTTGTAAAACCCCCATAATCCTATCACCCCTCACTCCCTTCACATAAAGCAAGGTTCACTCTTACTTTCATTACCCTCAAGTGTTCTTACAAATTGGAGGATACTTGAAAAAGGAAGATACCAAGAAGGGACATGACAAATCACAGCAGGTAAAATGGACTTCTTAGGTGTGGGATTAAGAAGAAAGAGGGGACATTAGAAAGCAGCCCTGCAAAGTGAGACCCTGAAGCAAATTCTGATGGGATCACACTTTGCCTCATCTTAAGAAGGGCTTCTGAGAGGCAAGGAAGGTGAGGGGGGCAGAGTGGTACATGCAGCTGAGCTGGCAGGATGGCTTGAAGGTAAATGAGCTCCACAGGAGATGGAAAGACCTGGGGTTATTTATAGTCCGAGAGGGTTATTTACTGGACGAGCTGTAAGGTCCTCCAGAGATGGAGTTCTGTGACCCTGGAATACAACTCAGGGTCAGAAGTGAGAAGAGGATGAACGAAGACAGGGCCAGGGCAGTAAGATGCTGGTAGAGCCTGGACGATGCCAGAAGGAGCAGATTTGGGGCCAGGGAGAAGGGCTGGCAGGTGAGAAGAGGCAAGGTCAACTTGATTAAAAAAAAAAAAAAAAAAAGGCTGGGTGCAGTGGCTCATGCCTGTAATCCCAAGCACTTTGGGAGGCTGAGGCAGGCGGATCACCTGAGGTCAGGAGTTCGAGACCAACCTGACCAACATGGAGAAACCCTGTCTCTTCTAAAAATACAAAATTAGCCAGACGTGGTGGCACATGCCTGTAATCCCAGCTACCTGGGAGGCTGAGGCAGGAGAACTGCTTGAACCCGGGAGGTGGAGGTTGCAGTGAGCCGAGATCATGCCACTGCACTCCAGCCCGGGCGACAGAGTGAGACTCTGTCTCAGAAACAAACAAACAAAATATTTAAAGAACTCTTAAAAACTCGACAGTAAGAAAATACACAACCTGATTTAAAAATGGGCTAAAGGTTGGGTGCGGTGGCTCACGCCTGTAATCCCAGCACTTTGGGAGGCTGAGGTGGGTGGACCACCTGAGGTCAGGAGGTCGAGACCAGCCTGACAAACATGGTGAAACCCCGTCTCTACTAAAAATACAAAAATTAGCCAGACGTGGTGGTGGGTGCCTGTAATCTCGGCTACTTGGGGGCTGAGGCAGAAGAATCCCTTGAACCTGGGAGGCAGAGGTTGCAGTGAGCCGAGTCTATGCCACTGCACTCCAGCCTGAGCAACAGAGTGAGACTCTGTCTCAAAAAAAAAAAAAAGAAAAAGCTGGGTTTCATGCTCATCTGTCTGAGGGTGGAGGGTTGCACCACAATTTCTTAGTTGCTATCAATAACATCTATAATTCTTTGGGAGATAGAAGGGAAAGATGGCAACCACTTTTTAAAATTAGCTTTTAAAATATTCTTCCCCATTCTTTCCACAAATACTTCCAGAGCTTCTTCCTTTGGGGCTCTTTCTGATTATGTTAGTAAAAAATACTGGAGTCAAACAGTCCTTCACAGTCTCAAATTCTTTTAGAGGATGGGTAGAGTTTAAGTAATTGAAAAAATGTATCTGGCCAGATGCGGTGGCTCATGCCTGTAATCCCAGCACTTTGGGAGGTCAAGGCGGGCAGATCACCTGAGGTCAGGAGTTCAAGACCAGCCTGGCCAACATGGTGAAACCCCATCTCTACTAAAAATACAAAAAATTAGCTGGACATGGTGACAGGCGCCTGTAATCCCAGCTACTCGGGAGGCTGAGGCAGGAGAATCACTTGAACTTGGGAAGTGGAGGTTGCAGTGAACTGAGACTGCACCACCGCACTCCAGCCTGGGCAACAGAGTGAGACTCTGTCTCAAAAAAAAAAAAGGAATATGGCTGGGCGAGGTGGCTCATGACTGTAATCCCAGCACTTAGGGAGGCCGAGGCAGGTGGATCACTTGAGGTCCGGGGTTCAAGACCAGCCTGGCCAACATGGTGAAACCCCATCTCTACTAAAAATATAAAATATTAGCCAGGTGTGGTGGCAGGCACCTGTAATTTCAGCTACTCAGGAGGCTGAGGCAGGAGAACTGCTCGAACCTGGGAGGTAGAGGTTGCAGTGAGCTGGGACTGTGCCACTGCACTCCAGCCTGGGTAACAGTGTGAAACTCCATCTCAAAAAAAAAAAAGAAAGAAAAGAAAAGAAAAAATGAATGTATAAGGGACAAGCTAATAAGTAATGTGCATTATAGACCTGAGCACTGATTAGATCTCTGTGGCATGACTCAAGTTAGGTGTATTTGGTCTGATTGTAGGTGACATCACCAGAAGGATACAGGGTGGATTGTTCTCTAACTCCTTCCTCACAGTCTTCACCATTGTATTCCGTGCGACAAGCGAGACAGCCAGGTGCTCATCCACTGGTATCATAGGTAGGGTGGTGAGGTTGATGACCTCCATCTTCCTGAAGTGATTCATTGTCCAATTTCTTGTAAATGGACAAACAAAAAGCTTCCACTTTTAAGAGCCTCTCATTTCCCACTCCAATCTTGTCGTTTGTTTAATCAGCCTCCTGGAAATCATAAACAGCATAGAGCCAGCTCAGAAAACACAAGAAGAAAAGCCCAACCATGTTCCCCAGCTACACAGGGTTGATGGCAAAGCACATGTCCCATGCCTGCATGGGGAATGAAAGGGTTCCGTCTGAGAAGCCTATTCTTAAATGAGGATTTCAAGGTATATGGACTTGTTCTTCCAATGTCTGATGCCTGACTCTCCCTCTGCCCCTCCCCCATGATGAAAATTGTTCTAGTTTTAAAAATAAGGAAACTAGAATGCGGAAAAGGCCAGGGCTCCAGACTACTCCAGACCACTCAGCAAGTCAGTTCCCAAACGAGAAATGAAATCAGATCTCTTTGCTTCTCTGAGTCCCAACTCTAAAAGAGATTTGGATTAGGTGACCCTAAGGCTCTCTCCAGCTTTCCGATGCTGTGATTCTAGAATAAGGGGTCCATCTCCTCAGCGCGAGGCTCCTGATCAACCTGAAGCTTTCTGCTCCCTCTCAGAAAACTGGCCCCAACCCTACTCTTCCTCCTTGGCTCTGCAACACTCTGGTCTAACAGCTCTCCTGGGTCCTTGCTTGTTGGCCAGGAACCCATTACTTCCATCTGTGGGCCCTCTATGTCCAGAGTCTAGTGTGATAGGCCTCGTTATAATACAGCAAAAGACTTAGATCCTGCCCTCTAGAAGCTCATACATAACGGAAGGACAGAGAAAACGTTGAGTTTGGTGGGAACATGAACTCAAATGCCCTTTCACCATACTCTCCTTCCCTCTCCTCCGGTTCAGGCCTTTGCTCCATCTTCTCCACAGACATGCATCTTACATGCCAGACCCGCAGAACTTCTTCCTGCTCCCTGACCACACAATGCTCTTCCTACCTCTATGCCTTTCCAGATGTGGTTCCCTCTGTTGGACTACGCCCAGGTGACATATCTGTGGAAACCTTCTCAAATAATTCCAAGCCATTAGCACCATGCCTCCTCTGCAAAGCCCAAGGTTCTGCATTCATCTATCACAGGACTCACAATAGTGAACTGGAATGATTTGCTTCTACTGCTTTCTCCACTAGGCAAATTATGGATTAACTGTGATTCCTTTTAGACTTACCATGGTTTTTTGTTTGTTTGTTTGTTTGTTTTGAGACAGCGTCTTGCTCTGTCGTCCAGACTGGAGTGCAGTGGCGCGATCTTGGCTCACTCACTGCAGCCTTGACATCCTGGATTCAAGCCTCCCGTGTAGCTGCGACTACAGGTACCTGCCACCCACAACTGCCTAATTTTTGTATTTTTAGTAGAGATGGGGTTTCACCATTTTGGCCAGGCTGGTCTCGAACTCCTGACCTCAGGTGATCCACCCACCTTGGCCTCTCAAAGTGCTGGGATTACAGGCGTGAACCACCACTCCCAGCCCCTTCTGAATATTTCATACCATTTTAGGTATTCTCTGAAACATGGTAAGTTTTTACTGCCATTACTTGGGGAGGATAAAAGGAGAGGGAAGAAAACTAGCTTCCTTAAATATCTACCCTGTGGCAAGCAATATGATGTGCTGGGGGCAGGGCAGAAGAGTGGAAGAGTAAGAAACCTTCTGCCCTCATGGAGCACACATTCTGGCAGTCAAGATTCAAATGCCCTGTTTAAAGTTAACATATTTGGGCTGGGCGTGGTGGGTCACGCCTGTAATCCCAGCACTTTGGGAGGCCGAGGCAGGCGAATCATGAGGTCAAGAGTTCGAGACCAGCCTGGCCAACGTGGTGAAACGCCATCTCTACTAAAATACAAAAATTAGCTGGGCATGGTGGCAGGCCCCTGTAATCCCAGCTACTAGGGAGGCTGAGGCAGGAGAATCGCTTGAACCTGGGAGGTGGAGGTTGCAGTGAGCTGAGATCATGCCACTGCATTCCAGCCTGAAAGACAGAGTAAGACCCTGTCTCAAAATAAATAAATAAAGTTAACATATTTGATGCTTCTCAGAAGAGGCGATATGAAAAAAAGAAAAATTAAAATAACAAAAAAGTTAATATATTTGAGCATATAAAAACAACGCTGACTTTAGGCCAGGCGCAGTGGCTCACACCTGTAATCCCAGCACTTTGGGAGGCCGAGGCAGGCAGATCATGAGGTCAGGAGATCGAGACCATCTGGCTAACATGGTGAAACCCCGTTTCTACTAAAAAATACAAAAAATTAGCCGGGCATGGTGGCGGGCACCTACAGTCCCAGCTACTTGGGAGACAGAGGCAGGAGAATGGCGTGAACCCAGGAGGCGGAGCTTGCAGTGAGCCGAGATCACGCCACTGCACTCCAGCCTGGGCGACAGAGCGAGACTCCATCTCAAGAAAAAAAAAAAAAAGGTCGGGCGTGGTGGCTTACGCCTATAATCCCAGCACTTTGGGAAGCCGAGGCAGGTGGATCACGAGGTCAGGAGATCGAGACCATTCTGGCTAACATGGTGAAACTCCGTCTCTACTAAAAATTAGCCTGGCGTGGTGGCGGGCTCCTGTAGTCCCAGCTACCAGGGAGGCTGAGGCAGGAGAATGGCGTGAACCTGGGAGGCGGGGCTTGCAGTGAGCCGAGATCACACCACTTCACTCCAGCCTGGGTGACAGAGCAAGACTCCATCTCAAAAAAAAAAAAAAAAAAAAATGCTGACTTTAGCATCTGACAGACTTTTTAGTATAACCCTCAGTCATACAATCAGGGGTCCCCAACCCCAGGGCCATGGATGGGTGTAGGTCTGTGGCCTGTTAGGAACCAGGCCACACAGCAGGAAGTGAGTGGCAGGTGAGTGAGAGAAGCTTGTCTGTATTTACAGCCACTCCCCATTCCTCACATGACTGCCTGAGCTCTGCCTTCTGTCAGATGAGCTTCAACATTAGATTCTCATAGGAGTGCAAACCCTATTATGAACTGTGCATGCAAGAGACCTAGGTTGTGTGCTCCTTATGAGAATCTAATGCCTGATGATCTGTCACTGTCTCTCAGCACTCCCAGATAGACTGTCTAGTTCCAGGAAAACAAGCTCAGGGCTCCCACTGATTCTACATTATGGTGAGTTGTAGAATTATTTTATTATATGTTACAATGTAATAACAGTAGAAATAAAGTGCACAATGAATGTAATGCTTTTTTTTTTTTTTTTGAGACAGAGTTTCACTCTTGTTGCCCAGGCTGGAATGCAATGGCACAATCTTGGCTCAGTGCAAACTCCGCCTCCTGGGTTCAAGTGATTCTCCTGCCTCGGCCTCTCAAGTAGCTGGGATTACAGGTGCACGCCACCATGCCTGGCTAATTTTTGTATTTTTAGTAGAGATGGGGTTTCACCATGTTGGTCAGGCTGGTCTCAAACTCCTGACCTCGTGATCTGCCTGTCTCAGCCTCCCAAAGTGCTGGGATTACAGGCATGAGCCACCGCACCCGGCCTGTAATGCTCTTGAATCATCCCAAAACCATCCCCCCCATCCCAGGTCTGTGTAAAAATTGTCTTCCATGAAACTGGTTCCTGAAGCCAAAAAGGTTGAGGACTGTGGATGAAATGATTATTTACTGAGTACCTACCATAAGCAAGCAGCATGCTCATACTCGGGACAGGAAAGTGAACTAAACCAGACTTGGTCCCTGCCCTCAAGGGGCTTACATCTACTGGAGGAGACAGGACAATGAGTCAATTACGTAAATCATAATTATGAGTTATAACTGTCATCACTACTTCAAAGGGAACAACACTGTAAGATGACATAATAGTGTGTTTTGACCATACAAGGAGATCAAGGTGCTAAAGGAGGAGCACAAGTTAATTAGATAAAGGGGAGCAGGGCCGGGCGCGGTGGCTCACACCTGTAATCCCACCACTTTAGGAGGCCGAGGCAGGCGGATGACGAGGTCAGGAGATCCAGACCATCCTGGCTAACACGGTGAAACCCCGTCTCCACTAAAAATACAAAAAACTAGCCGGGTGTGATGGCAGGCGCCTGTTGTCCCAGCTACTCTGGAGGCTGAGGCAGGAGAATTGCTTGAACCCAGGAGGCGGAGCTTGCAGTGAGCCGGATCGCGCCACTGCACTCCAGCCTGGGCAACAAGAGCAAAACTCGGTCTCAAAAAAAAAGAAAAAATGGGGAGCGGAAATAATATGCCATCCAAAATGTACCATCCAAGCAGCGGGAAGTGAGGCTGGAAAGGTAGGAAGTGCCCAGACTGTGCTGGCCATCAAAATAGCACTAGCTACATGTGACAATTAAGTCCTTGGAATTTGGTTAATGTGACTGAATAAGTAAAATTTTAAGGCTGAATGCAGTGGCTCATACCTGTAATCCCAATACTTTGGGAGGTGGGGATGATGTCACTGCACTCCAGCCTGGGTGACAGAATGAGACCCTGTCTCAAAAAAATAAACAAAAGGCTGGGCGCGGTGGCTCACGCCTGTAATCCCAGCACTTTGGGAGGCCGAGGCAGGCGGATCATGAGGTCAGGAGATCGAGACCACCCTGGCTAACATGGTGAAACCCCATCTCTACTAAAAATACCAAAAAAAAAAAAAAAAAAAAAAATTAGCTGGGCTTGGTGGCGGGCGCCTGTAATCCCAGCTATTCGAGAGGCTGAGGCAGGACAATGGCATGAACCCAGGAGGCGGAGCTTGCAGTGAGCTGAGATTGTACCACTGCACACTCCAGCCTAGGCGACAGTGCGAGACTCCATCTAAAATAAATAAATAAATAAATAAATAAATACCAAAAAAAAAATTAGCCTGGCATGGTGGCGGGCGCCTGTAGTCCCAGCTACTTGGGAGGCGGAGGCAGGAGAATGGCGTGAACCCAGGAGTCGGAGGTTGCAGTGAGCCAAGATCATGCCACTGCACTCCAGCCTGGGCGACAGAGCGAGACTCTGTCTCGAAAAAAAAAAAAAGTAAAATTTTTTTAAAGTAAAGCAATAAAAGAATGGCTACTCCATAGATAGAACAGCCAAGAGTAAAATTTTAATTTTAATTAATTCAAATTTTGGCCAGGCGCAGTGGCCCGCACCTGTAATACCAGCACTTTGGGAGGCCGAGTCAAGCAGATCACCTGAGGTCAGGAGTTCGAGACCAGCCTGGCCAACATGGTGAAACGCCATCTCTACTAAAAATACAAAAAATTAGCCGGGCATGGTGGTGGGTGCCTGTAATTCCAGCTACTTGGGAGGTGAACACAGCAGAATCGCTTGAACCCGGGAGGCCGAGATCATGCCACTGCAATCCCAGCCTGGGCAACAGAGTGAGACTCTGTCTTAAAAAAAAAAAAAATTAAATTTTTAAATGGAAGCAGTGCAAATTTAGAAATACTGATTATATCTTGAAATAGTAATGTTTTGGACATATGGAGTTTAAAACATTACTCAAATTAATTTCACTTGGCTTTCTTTTTTACTTTTTAAAAAATGTGGCTACTAGAAAATTCCAAATCACATATGTGGCCTGCTTTATGTTTCTATTGCACAATGCTAAGCCAGATTGTGAAGATTTTAGTTCTAGGACATGGAAGTCTCCCCTCTTTTAATGCAGGGTGGTGTAGTTGGAAGAGAACTGCGCTTGGAGTCAAAGACCCCTGGGTCCTGCCCCTCACTGGATGCCCTGATACACCCACTAGGCAGCCGGTAAACTCCTTGAACGGCCTAAGTTTCTGCACTTATCAGACGGAACCAATAACACACGCTTTTAGGACTCTAGGAGATCTGGAGTTGATTCTCCAGTAGTTCTCTGTCCCTTCCTCACAATGCAACCTTTAAGTAGTCCCTGGGCCTCAGCTTCCCTTGCTTGTAGAAGCCGCCATAACGGCACGGGGAGGGGGCAGGCTGCCAGAGGTGGGTCATGGTGCGTCTGTCCGTCCGTCTTACCTGAAAGCATCGGCGGAATTTGACGAACCCGGGGCCGGTCCCGCCACGGGTCCCTCAGGGGACCCCGCAAAGTTCTGGGTCGGCCCCCGACAGCCGGTGCCCCCAAACTCACAGCAAGGGGTGCCCTTTGCCTTGTGCTGGGGGATGAGGAGGGGAGTTGGGGAGAGGCCCATTTTGCTACTCTGAGTCCAGGCGTTCTCTAGGCAACGCCGGCGCGGTCTCCACTTTCCCGTTTAGCATAACAATGGAACCTTCGTGAGCCGCCGCGTTGTCCGCGAGATGCCGTTTCTATGGTGACAGCCGGGCCGGGGGCCCAGACCAATGTGTCAGTGGAGAGGGTGAATGCAGGTCCTGGTCCTAGAGGCATGAAAAGGACCCCAGAAGACACTGCCTTTGTATAATCCGTTTGCTATCCCGAGGTGATTCACGGAGTTTCTGGGGATTGGCGCAGGCTGGCGCTGGGAACCCCCGCGCCGGTTACCCCTTTCCTCGGTGGTAGAGGCCGGGCGGGGCAGCGCATGCGCGTGGCGGGCAGGCGGCAGGAGGCGGGTGGGTCAAGGTAACTCTGGGCTACAGAGTCCTTGCTGGGGGTTCGGGGAGCGCTTGGACCCCGGCTTCTGGGACGCGTCAGGTACGTCTCCGAGTCCGGCGTCGCCGGCCAGCGCTGCCTGGGTTCACTCGGGGGCCCGAGCTGAGTAGGACGTCCGGGCCTCGCCTGGAGAGAGGCTTCAGGAGGGCCTGGGGAAGGGGACGGAGGCCGGGCGACCCCGGGCGGTGGCCGCCCTCCTCTGTGTGTCTCCGCGGTTGTGAATTGGGGCGGTAATTCCTCCCCGTAGGTCGCCGTGAAGATGATTGCATGAGATCGTGCGTGTGAACGTTTGTTGACAGCTGTTACTTGAGTCCGACAGCCCTGGGGGCCGTGCATCTGCGTAACATGGCTACCTCTGAACTCCTTGGGGGACACGTATATCTTTGAGAATCCGATGAAAACCAGAGATTCCGCCCTTGTTTTCTTAGAATTAAAGTAAGATAATATATTTTATGGCCTGTTGCAAACGGAAAACCTTTACACAATGATTAGTGATTAGTATCAGTATCTGTGGACTGGGAAGGCTCTACTTACTCGATCCTCTTCCCAGGGTCGTTGTGAGGATCAAGTGCACAGCTTCCTATAAACACTAAAACACTATAACATCTTGTGAGCCAGGTACTATTATTATTCCTCAGTGCAAAGAAAGAAGCCGAAGTCCAAGGGGGATAAATGCTGGGGTCCCACTGTGGGTGAGCCGCAGAGTGATCATTGGAAGCCAGGTGCTCCCCCTTCACTTCCTGTGTGCGGAGCACGCTCGCCCTGGGAGTTTCACTAGAAAGAAGGTTGCCATGGGCCAGTGGGACAGCTTGTATCTCAAGTGCACGCGGATGCCCCAGAATCCCAGGATCTCAGCTGAGCTGTTTGTGGATTATTAGATCTGACTTAAAAGGTAGCTAATCCAGACCCTTCCTCATCTGTAATACATGGATGACAGCTCCCAGCTGTAGTGTTATGAGAATTAGTGCGGTCATGAGTAAGGTGCCCAGTTAAAGCCCGAGAAGTAAAGCAGCTGGGCCAAGGTCTAGCAGGCAACTGAAGGGGAGAGCCAGGCCCCTAAACTTGTTGTGTCCAGCCCATGTGCTCAGGCCCAGTGCAGTTAGCATCAGTGGGGACTTGACTTATTTCTCCTTCTTCAAATGTCTCTAGATTTTAGGCATGCTGGGGGCTGCTTCTTAACTGTGTTTTGTTTATTTTGTTCATAAGTAATACATGAATATATTCTCATTGTAATAATTCATTAAATCTCGAGTATATTTAATATAATTTTATATTGTACCATATGAAATTGTCACAATTTGACCTTTTTTTAACCTATAAAATGACAAGTTCATTCAAGTCAGTCATCCTATTCCCTTTTTCAGGTTTAACCACTATGAACAGTTTGGTGTATCCTTCCAGATCTCTTTCTTTCTTTTCTATTTTTTTTTTCTTTGAGATGGGGTCTTGTTCTGTCACCCAGGCTAGAAAGCAGTGGTGCAATTTCAGCTCACTGCAACCTCTGCCTCCTGGGTTCAAGCAATTATCCTGCCTCAGCCTCCTGAGTATCTGGGACAACTGGCGCACACCACCACACCCGACTAATTTTTGTATTTTTAGTAGAAACAGGGTTTCACCATGTTGGCCAGGATAGTCTCGATCTCTTGACCTCGTGATCTGCCCAACTCGGCCTCCCAAAGTGCTGGGATTACAGGCATAAGCCACCGTACCTGGCCTCTTTCTTTTTTTTAATACACACATATATTACTTTATTTTATTTTATTTTTTTTTGAGATGGAGTCTGACTCTGTTGCCCAGGCTGGAGTGCAGTGGTGCGATCTCGGCTCACTGCAAGCTCTGCCTCCTGGGTTCACACCATTGTCCTGCCTCAGCCTTCTGAGTAGCTGGGACTACGAATAGATGGGACTACAGGCTCCTGCCACCATGCCAGGCTAATTTTTTGTATTTTTAGTAGAGACGGGGTTTCACTGTGTTAGCCAGAGTGGTCTCCATCTCCTGACCTCGTGATCCGCCCGCCTCGGCCTCCCAAAGTGCTGGGATGACAGGCGTGAGCCACCACGCCCGGCCTATTCTTTTATTTTCACTTTGTCTTATCATATGGGGGAAATACCATACACATCATTCTGCAACCTGCTTTCGCAGTGTTAAAGCATGTCAGAAGTCTTTCAGGTTAGTTCATATACAGCTATCTCACTGTCTTTAATTGCTATTTACAATTTTATTTTTATTTTTATTTTTATTTTTTGAGATATAGTCTCACTTTGTTGTCCAGGCTGGAGTGCAGTGGCGCAATTTCTGCTCACTGCAACCTCTGCCTCCTGGGTTCAAGCAATTCGCATGCCTCAGCCTCCTGAGTAGCTGAGATTACAGGCGCACGCCAACATACTGGGCTAATTTTTGTATTTTTAGTAGAAATGCGGTTTTGCCATGTTGGCCAGGCTGGTCTCGAACTCCTGGCGTCAAGTGATCTGCCTGCCTTGGCCTCCCAAAGTGCTGGGATTACAGGTGTGAGCCACTGTACCTGGCCTACAATTGGTTTTTTTTGTTTGTTTGTTTTTTGTTTTTTTTTGAGACAGAGTCTTGCTCCGTCGCCCAGGCTAGAATACAGTGGCACAATCTCAGCTCACTGCAACCTCTGCCTGCTGGGTTCAAGCCTCAGCCTTCTGAGTAGCTGGGATTACAGGCGTGTGCCACCACACCTGGCTAATTTTTGTATTTTTTAGTAGTGACAGGGTTTCATCATGTTGGCCAGGCTGGTCTCAAACTCCTGACCTCAAGTGATCCACCTGCCTCAGCCTCCGAAAGTGCTGAGATTATAGGCATGAGCCACCGTGCCCGGCTTAGGCCCACAATTTTATTATAAGAATGTGCTGGCCGGGCACGGTGGCTCACACCTGTCGTCCCAGCACTTTGGGAGGCCAAGGCGGGCAGATCACAAGGTCAGGAGATCGAGACCATCCTGGCTAACACGGTGAAACCCCATCTCTACTAAAAATACAAAAAATTGCCCAGGTGTGGTGGCAGGCGCCTGTAGTCCCAGCTACTCGGGAGGCTGAGGCGGGAGAATGGTGTGAACCTGGGAGGCGGAGCTTGCAGTGAGCCGACATCGCACCACTGCACTCCAGCCCGGGCGACAGAGTGAGACTCTGTCTCAAAAAAAAAAAAAAAAAAAAAGAATGTGCCACAAATTATTTGGCTACACCCAAATTGTTTGGATTGTTTCTTATTTTTTACTGTTATCAACAATAGAGAACATTGGGTGTGAGCATGTCCAAGTCTTTCTGGAGTGTAAAATTTTAGAAGTAGAGTTGCTGTCCAAAAAGTGTACACATTGACAATTTTGCCAAGTTTTGAGTGCCCTTGAAAGAATTATAGCATCTTCTGATTCCACCAGTAATAACAGTGTCTTTTTCTTCACATCCTCATCAACCATGGGTATTATTCATCTTTTTAATTTTTGCCAATATGATGAGTGAAAATGCATTTTTTTAACTTTTTTTTTTTGAGATGGAGTGTTGCTCTGTCACCCAGGCTGGAGTGCAGTGGCGTGATCTTGGCTCACTGCAACCTCTGCCTCCCAGGTTCAAGTGATTCTCCTGTCTCAGCCCCCCGAGTAGCTGGGATTACAGGCTCATGCCACCGCGCCTGGCTAATTTTTGTGTTTTTAGTAGAGACGGGGTTTCACTGTGTTGGCCAGGCTGGTCCTGAACTCCTGACCTCAAGTGATCCACCTGCCTCGGCCTCCCAAAGTGCTGGGATTACAGGCATGAGCCACCACACCAGGCCGAAAATGCATCTTTTAATGATGTGCCTCACATGTTACTAATACAAGGATAAGTATATACATGTGTATATAGACACACACACACCATATGTATATACACGTATACCATATATGTGTGTGTACAGGTACATACACACACACACACACACACACGCAGACGCATATACACCTTCAGCCAACTGATCATGGCTATGCACCTTGGGAAAATTGGGAAACTACCCCAAACCCTAGCATTTTCATCTTTATTTATTTATTTATTTTTGAGACGGAGTTTCACTCTTGTTGCCCAGGCTGGAGCGCAATGACACGATCTCCCTCACCGCAGCCTCCACCTCCTGGGTTCAAGCGATTCTCCTGCCTCAGTCTCCAGAACTTTATTCATGGATATTCCTATTTTATTTTTGTTCTGTCCTTTACATAAGATTACAGACATAAGATTAATGCTTTTCCCTCTTCTAACCTCTTTCTCTTCTCCAGCAGAAACAGTGCCAGGGCCTTACAATGTGTTTTGGATGGTGACATAGCATCAACCCCCCTCTGCATCTTGGTCCCCACCCCGTCCCCTCCACTACCAAGCTGGAAGCACTCTGGTTTGTCCAAGTTCTAAAGTGCTGTGCCCAGGCCCAAATGCCATCCCCTAAGTTGCTGGTCTATGATTCTTTTTATTTTTATGATTTTATTTTAGTTTATTTTATTTTTGAGACAGAGTCTCGTTCTGTCACCCAGGCTGGAGCGCAGTGGTGTGTTCTCGGCTCACCGCAACCTCCGCCTCCCAGGTTCAAGCGTTTCTTGTGCCTCAGCCTCCCAGGCAGTTGGGATTACAGGTGAGCACCACCACTCCCGGCTAATTTTTGTACATTTTTAGTAGAGACAGGGTTTCACCATGTTGGCCAGACTGGTCTCGAACTTCTGACCTCAGGTGATCCACCTGCCTTGGCCTCCCAAAGTGCTGGGATTACAGGCGTGAGCCACTGTATGATTGTTTTTAATTCAAACACGTAACTACCAGGAAAGCTGTCATGAGCACATAACCCCAAATACCTTCATTTATTTATAAATTACATATACATATACTTATGTATTGTATGTTTTACATACATTCCAAAGAAGCTTCTTAACTTTTATCATTAATTTTAGTGAGATCAATTTCTCCCTTAATGAAAACAGCCTGGAAGTTTTTTTTCCTGTTCTCATTGGATACATATCTTGCTGATTGTGATGGATTCATACTTTGAATTCTCTTTTAATGATAATGGATATAAAACCTTGTTTCAAATAGTCTTGAAAAGATACCAACCCCTCCTCCTGCCTTTTTTGGCCCATTTCTTGTCAGATCCAGTTAACCCGTTACTGCTTTTATTTCATAATGTAGTGAAGGAA
The DNA here is from genome assembly GCF_000001405.40 of Homo sapiens. Classification (NCBI taxonomy): domain Eukaryota; kingdom Metazoa; phylum Chordata; class Mammalia; order Primates; family Hominidae; genus Homo; species Homo sapiens. Next base: position 38,661,873 of record NC_000022.11, read on the forward strand.
GACCTTACGCCCAGGAGGAGCAGTGAGAGGTCGGCTGTTTTCTTTTTGCTCACTTGTGCCGTCATTGTTGTTCTCTTCAGTCTATGGCTTCTTAGAAGGATTCTTTGTAAGCTGTGTGCGTGATATAAATTAAAATTGAATAATATAGGCCAGGCGTGGTGGCTCAGGCCTGTAATCCCAGCACTTTGAGAGGCCAAGTTGGGCCAGTCGCTTGAGCTCAGGAGTTCGTGACCAGCCTGGGCAACATGGCGAAACCCCGTCTCTACAAAAGACACAAAAATTAGCTGGGCCTAGTGGCGCGTGCCTGTGATCTCAGCTACTTGGGAAGCTGAGGTGGGAGAATCGCTTGAACCTGGGAGGTTGAGGCTGCAGTGAGCCGAGATCACGCCACTGCACTCTAGCCTGGGCAACAGAATGAGACTCTGTCTCAAAAAAAAAAATAAATAAATAAATAAAATAAAAAATTGGGTGATATATGGGGAAAAAAAGAACACTAACCCCTGTTTTACATCATATACAAATATTAATTCAAGATGAATTATAGTCACAAATGTGAAATGCAAACAATAATATTACCAGAAGTTAACAGAAAATATCATCATGACCTTGGGGTAGGCAATTTTTTTTGGGGGGCGGGGGACAGGATCTCACTCTGTCACCCAAGCTGGAGTGCAGTGTCATAATCTCAGCTCACTGCAACCTCTGGCTCCTGGGCGCAAGCAATCCTCCCACCTCTGCCTCCTGAATAGCTGGGACCACAGGCGTACACCACCATGCCCAGCTAATTTTTTGTATCTTTGGTAGAGACAGGGTTTTGTTTGCCATGTTGCCCAGGATGGTCTTGAACTCCTGGACTCAAGTTATTTGCCTGCCTCTGCCTCCCAAAGTGCTAGGATTTATAGGCATGAGGCACCATACCCAGCCTGGGGTAGGCAAACATTTTAAAAATACAATACAAGCACTAATCATTAAGAAATAATAATAAATTGGGCTGGGTGCAGTGGCTTATGCCTGTAATCCCAGCACTTTGGGAGGTCAGGAATTCAAGACCAGCCTGGCCAACATGGCGAAACACCATCTCTGCTAAAAGTACAAACATTAGTTGGGTGTGGTGGCAGGCGCCTGTAATCCCAGCTACTCAGGAGGCTGAGGCAGGAGAATTGCTTGAACCCAGGAAGCAGAGGTTGCAGTCAGCTGAGATCACATCACTGCCCTCCAGCCTGGGCGACAGAGTAAGACTTGATCTCAAAATAAATAAATAAATAAATAAATAATTGGATTTCATTATAATTAAGAACTTCTGGCTGGGAGCTGTGGCTCACACCTGTAATCTCAGCACTTTGGGAGGCCGAGGCAGGTGGATCACGAGGTCAAGAGATTGAGACCATCCTGGCCAACATGGTGAAACCCCGTCTCTACTAAAAATACACAAATTAGCTGGATGTGGTGGTGCGTGCCTATAGTCCTAGCTACCTGGGAGGCTGAAGCAGGAGAATCGCTTGAACCCGGGAGGCGGAGGTTGCATTAAGAAAGCAAAAAGAGGCCGGACGCGGTGGCCCACACCTGTAATCCCAGCACTTTGGGAGGCTGAGGTGGGTGGATCACCTGAGGTTGGGAGTTCGAGACCAGCCTGACCAACATAGAGAAACCCTGTCTCTACTAAAAATACAAAAATTAGCCGGGCGTGGTGGCGCATGCCTGTAATCTCAGCTACTTGGGAAGCTGAGGCAGGAGAATCACTTGAACCCGGGAGGTGGAGGTTGCGGTGTGCTGAGATGGCGCCATTGCACTTCAGCCTGGGCCACAAGAGCGAAACTCTGTCTCCAAAAAAAAAAAAAAAAAAGGAAAAAAAAAGAAAGCAAAAAGAGGTCGGGCGCAGTGGCTCATGACTGTAATTCCAGCACTTTAGGAGGCGGAGGTGGGTGGATCACTTGAGGTCAGGAGTTCGAGACCAGCCTGGCCAACATGGCAAAACCCCATCTCTACTAAAAACACAAAAATTAGCTGGGTTTAGTGGCAGGTGTGTGTAATCCCAGCTACTTGGGAGGTTGAGACAGGAGAATCTCTTGAACCTGGGAGGCAGAGGTTGCAGTGAGCCAAGATAGCACCACTGCACTCCAGCCTGGGTGACAGAGCGAGACTGTGTTTCAAAAAAAAAAAAGAAGGAGAAAGCAAAAAGAAAAAAGTGGGAGAAGATATTTTCAGTACTGTACATATATACAGTAGTGAAACTTGTATCCAGCGTATATAAATACCCTTACAAACCCTTACAAAATGAACATGATAGACAGCTCAATTTTAAAAAATGGCAAAAGAGGGCTGGGCGCGGTGGCTCATGCCTATAATCCTAGCACTTTGGGAGGCTGTGGCGGGCAGATTGCTTGAGGTCAGGAGTTCGAGACAAGCCTGGCCAGCATAGCGAAACCCTGTCTCTATTAAAAATACAAAAATTAGCTGGGCATGGTGGTGTGTTCCTGTAATCCCAGTTACTCGGGAGGCTGAGGCAGGAGAATCACTTGAACCTGGGAGGCAGAGGTTGCAGTGAGCTGAGATTGTGCCACTGCACTCCAGCCCGATGACAGAGGGAGACTCCATCTCAAAAAAAAAAAAAAAAAGCAAAATACATGAATAAGCATGCCACAAAAAAATCCATATATGTCCAAGGAGTATGTTAAATGATGCTCAACTTAATTAGTTATTTGGGAAAAGCAAATTAAACAATGCAACACCATTACATACCTGCCAGAATGGAAAAGATGAAAAAGAAAGTGCCAGATATTGACAAGGATCTCTTGCAAACTACAGATAGGAGTCTAAATTGGTACAATGACTTTGGAAAACCATTTGGCAGAATCTGTTAAAGCTAAATATATGAATGCTCTGTGACTCTATAGTTATACCCCTAAGTATGGAACCAGAAAAGTGTACATATGCATGTAGATATACATGCTCAAGTCTTATGTTCTTAGCAGTAGTTTTTTTTTTTCTTGAGACAGGGTCTTGCTCTGTTGCCCAGACTGAAGTGTGCAGTGGTGATCACAGCTCACTGCAGCCTCAAACTCCTGGGCTGAAGCAATCCTTCCACCTCAGCCTCCTGAGTAGCTAGGACTACAAGGGTACACCACCACGCCTGGCTGATTTTTCAATTTTTTGTAGAGATGAGGTCTCATTATGTTGCCTAGGCTGGTCTTGAACTCCTGGCATCAAGTGATCCTCCTGTCTTGGCCTCCCAAAGTGCTAGGATTACTGGCATAAGCCACCATGCCTGGCCTAGCAGCACTATTTTTGGTGGTCAAAAACTGGAAACAGGCCGGGTGTGGTGGTTCATACCTGTAATTCCAGCATTTTGGGAGGCTGAGGCAGGCAGATCACGTGAGCCCAAGAGTTCAAGACCAGACTAGGCAACATGACGAAACTCCCATCTCTATTAAAAATGCAGAAAATTAGCCAGCATGGTGGTGCGTGCCTATAGTCCCAGCTACCCATGAGGCTGAGATGGGAGGATCACCTGAGCCTGGGAGGTTGAGGCTACAGTGAACAGAGATGGTACCACTGCACTCCAACCTGGGGGACCAGAACGAGACCCTGTCTCAAGAAACACAAAACAAAACTGCAAACAGCTCAAATGTCCATCTTCTGTAGACAAGTAAATTTTGCTGTGTTTATACAATAGAATATTATCCAGCAATGCAAATGAACAAACTATAACTACACACAGCTGCATGGATAAATGTCAGAAACATGACGTTGAGTGTGAGAAGCCAGATGCAAACGAGGACTCACTGTGCAATTCTGTGCATGTACAGTGGCCAGGTGAGGCTTATGGAGTGCTGAAATGCTCTGTATCCCAATCTGGAGGGTGGTTTTAAAAAAATGTTTTGAGCCAGTGCGTTGGTTCACACCTGTAATTCCAGCACTTTGGGAGGCCAAGGTGGGCAGGTCACTTGAGGTCAGGAGTTCGAGACCAGCCTGGCCAACATGGTAAAACCCTGTCTCTACTAAAAATACAAAAATTAGCTGGGCATGGTGGCACACACCTGTAATCCCAGCTATTTACAAGGCTGAGGCACAGAGCAGGGCTCTGTCTCAAAAAAAAAAATCATAAATAAAAAATAAAATTTAAAAAATACTTGATTTTAATTTTTTTAGAGATGGGGGTCTCGCTGTGTCACTCAGGCTGGTCTTGAACTCTTGGGCTCAAGCAATCCTCTCACCTTGGCCTCCCAAAGTGCTGGGATTTCAGGTATAAACCACCACGCCTGGCCCTGGAGGGTGGTTATACTTGTGTAGTAAAAACTCATGAAACCTTACACTTATGATTTGTGGTAGACTTTTCTGTATTAATGTTATATATATATATATTTTTTTTTCTTTTTTAACCTTTTTTTGGTAGAGACGGGCCCTGCTAAGTTGCCCAGGCTGGTCTTGAACTCCTGTGCTCAAGTAATCCTCCCTCCCTGGCCTCCCAAAGTGCTAGGATTACAGGTGTGAGCCACTGCTCCCAGCCTAAATAAAAAGTTTGCTTCTCCCCTCCTTTTCTCCCCAAAAACCAGGGTGTTATCAGGAAATCTACTTAACTAGGCCTAGGTGAATTGCAATAGGTTGCATTATGCTAAAAGCAAATGTACAGGTTGGGGGGGTGTTGTTGTCAGCTCCGCCATGTCGTGGACCTGCCCCCTTTTCAGGACACCTCACGTCACCTTCCATAACAGAACAGGTAACGTGACATATGAGGTGCACTGTTGACAAGTGACACTGGTGACAAGTGAGGAGCACTGTTATCAATCTGGAAAGGAAATATAAGCATAGCTTTACTCATTTATTTATTTATTTTTTTAATTTATTTTTGAGACAGAGTCTTGCTCTGTCACCCAGGCTGGAGTGCAGTGGCGCAATCTCGGCTCACTGCAACCTCTGCCTCCTGGGTTCAAGCAATTTTCCTGCCTCAGCCTCCCAACTAGCTGGGATTACAGGCACCCGCCACTATGCCCAGCTAATTTTTTGTATTTTTAGTAGAGACAGGGTTTCACCACGTTGGCCAGGCTGGTCTCAAACTCCTGACCTCTTGATTTGCCCGCCTCGGCCTCCCAAAGTGCTGGGATTACAGATATGAGCCACCGTGCCCAGCCATTTCTTTCTTTATTTTTTTTTTTTTAGAGACAGGGTAATGCTCTTTGACTCAGGCTGGAGTGCAGTGGCATGATCATAGCTCACTGGAGGCTCAGACTCATAGGTTCAAGTGATCCTCCCACCTAAGCCTACTGAATAGCTGAGACTACAGGCACGCACCACCATACCTGGCTAATTTTTGTATTTTTTGTAGAGACAGAGTTTTGCCATGTTGGCCAGGCTGGTCTTAAACTCCTGGGCTCAAGTGATCTGCCTACCTCAGCCTCCTGAGTCACTGAGACTGTAGTTGTGTGCCACCATGCCAGGCTAACTTTTTTTTTTTGAGACATGGTCTCTCATTCTGTAGCCTAGACTGGAGAGCAGCAGTGGACCACAGCTCACTGCAGCCTCAACCTCCCTGGGCTCCAGCGACCCCCCAGCCTCAGCTTCCCAAGTAATTGGGACTACAGGCATGCGCCACTGTGTGCCACCCAAAAAATCTTAGCATACCGCGTAGCACAAAGGGAGCGTTCAGCACATGGGAGCTATTACCAGGCGTCTTAATCCATTTTGTGCTGCTGTTACAGATTACCACAGACTGGGTAATTTATAAAGAAAAGAAGTTTATTTGGCTCACAGTTCTGGAGACTGGGAAGTCCAAGAGCATGGTGCAAGTATCTGGTGAGGGTCATCCTGTGTGAGGCAGAAGGCTCACATGGTGAGCAAGTGCATGAGACAGACAGCATGGCAGCAGAACTCATCCTTTTGCCAGGAGCCCACGCCAGAGAAAACTAACCTACTCCATGACAATGGCATTAATCCATTCATGAGAGCAGAGCTCACATGGCCCAGTCACCCCTTATACTGTTAAACAATGGCAATTCAATTTCAACATGAGTTTTGGTGGGGACATTCAAACCATAGCACCAGGATCGTTAGTAGCCACATGATAAAATGTATGTCTTCAAGATTTGAAGACAATGGCATAAGGTCAGTGATCCAGCTGCTTGTACCCCTGACTTTTTCTGACCCTAGGAGAAGGGAGCACTGGCTTTGCTTTCATCAGGCCAAAGATGCCTTTCTTTGGGAATACGTTCAGTCCGAAGAAGACACCTCCTCGGAAGTCGGCATCTCTCTCCAACCTGCATTCTGTGAGTGTCGGTACTGGGGTCGGCCGGGTGTGCAGCATGAGTTGAGTGCTGAGCGTGTCTCTGAATGGAAAGTGTGGTCCTCCAGAGGCATCAGTGCAGGAGGGCATCCTTTCCGTCCATATCATTGCTATTGCGGAAAACATTTTTGAACTCTTGTTTGGGAATGATCGTCAGAGCTTGTTTATCCAAGAACCTAAGAAGACAATCTCATTATGATATTTGACCCCAAATATCCAAATTTTTTTTTTCTTTTTTGAGATGGAGTCTCACTCCCGTCCCACAGGCTAGGGTGCAGTGGCGCGATCTTGACTCACTGCAACCTCCACCTCCCGGGTTCAAGCGATTCTCCTTCCTCAGCCTCCTGAGTAGCTGGGATTACAACTGCCCGCCACCATGCCCGGCTAATTTTTGTACTTTTAGTAGAGACAGGGTTTCACCATGTTGGCCAGGCTGGTCTCGAACTGCTGATCTCAGGTGATCCACCCGCCTTGGCCTCCCCAAGTGCTAGGATTACAGGTGTGAGCCACTGTGCCCAGCCAGTATCATCCAATTTGACTTCTACTTTATTCTGTGACCTTTTCCTACAGAGCTAGCTATGCAGACTGGCCATGTCTTCACAGAAGGCGAGTGGGGTTGAACAACAAGGCTGTGGGGGCTGAGCATTCACTACAGGTTTCAGGTCTTAAGAGTCTGTTGTCTCCTGTTCCCAGTGAAAATCATGGTGGGGGCAGCCCCACTGTGGCCAGAGCTGGGCATTCTGTGGAGCAGGCCAGGCAGAGGCTTAGGATCTCAGTTTCTGGTGCCCCTAGGCCTGAGGCTCCCTTTCCTCTCTGCCATGTGTGAGAGATGCAGATACACCTGGCGGTCCCTCTAGGACATCCTCTGTCCTAATCCCACACAGCGTAAGAGCAGCAGTGTGCTTACATGACGTCTGTCTCTGACCGTGACTTGAAGTCGGTCCTCCCCTACATTGTTTTCCACATGCTGACAGGTACTTGTAAGCCTTGGTACTTGTAAGGCCTCCACAGCGCTCCATATGGTCACTGGTGGATTTTATTAGTTCCCCGTTATTACAGGATAACCACCCAGATCTTGGGAGCAGCACAAATGACCCTTGGTGGCCTCACTCCAGCTCTCCTTCCTGCCCTTGCCCTCTGCACACCCTGTGCTGCAGCCGCCCAAGCCCCGTGTGAACCTCCTCTGCGCACGCTACTCCTTCTGCCTAGAATGTTTAATTCTAGAATCTAGAATAGATTAATTAAAGAGCTATTGATTGATACCTTTCTATGTGCCAGGCACTCTCCTAAGCACTGGGCATGCAGAAGTGGATGAAGGAGGGGAGAGAAAAACATCAAATCCCTGCTTTCATGGGGCAGATACTTTAACGGAAGGCTACAGAAAATAAGCAAATTTATATCAGATGGTGATATGTGCCAGACAGCAAAACAAAGCATAGGCCTGGGATGGGGTGTGGCTGAGCACTGGGGACTGAGCTTTCATTTTCAACAGGGTGGTCAGGAAGGCCTAACTGAGAAAGGGACATTTGAGCACTTACCTGAAGGTCTCCCTGTGTTGAGCCGCTATTGAGGGCAGAGCTGGTCATACGCATCCCTGGATACCCAGTACCGAGTCCCGAATCGGGGTGGGTGCTCAGTGAGTTGTAGAAATGAATATCTAGGCCAGGCGCAGTGGCTCATGCCTGTAATCCCAGCACTTTAGGAGGCTGAGGTGGGCGCATCACTTGAGGTCAGGAGTTTGAGACCAGCCTGGCCAATGTGGCGAAACTCTGACTCTACTTTAAAAAATACAAAAATTAGGCCGGGCACGGTGGCTCACGTCTATAATCCCAGCACTTTGGGAGGCTGAGGTGGGCGGATCACAAGGTCAGGAGTTCGAGACCAGCCTGGCCAATATGGTGAAACCCTGTCTCTACTAAAAAATACAAAAATTAGCCAGGTGTGGTGGCGTGCGCCTGTAGTCCCAGCTACTCGGGAAGCTGAGGCAGAAGAGTTGCTTGAACCTGGGAGGCAGAGGTTGCAGTGAGCCAAGATTGTGCCACTGCACTCCAGCCTAGGCGAAAGAGTGAGACTCCGTCTCAAAAAAAACCCCAAAAATTAGCCGGGTATGGTGGTGCATGCCTGTAGTCCCAGCTATTCAGAGGCCGAGATGGGAGGATCACTTGAACCCGGGAGGCGGAGGCTGCAGTGAACTGAGATCGCACCACTGTACTCCAGCCTTGGTGAAAGAGCGAAACTCCGTCTCAAAAAAAAAAAAAAAGAAAAGAAAAGAATAGAATATGTAAATTGTACTGTCGCACGTTAAGAAGCAACTCCTCTTCCTCCTAATTGTTAGAATTTTATGTCTTTTCCACAACATATGTAGCTCCATATTAAGCAAATGATAACTTGGGGGACTATTACATTTAAAAAGAATTTTTCACTTGATTAACAGTTTATAGTAGGATTGCTTAAACTATTAAGTGTCAAGTAGGTATAAAATAATTCAATTTATAAATTTCAGTATATATAGCTTTTCTGGAAAACATCTAATGTATAAAACAGTATATTTTTTATCTCACAATTAAACTTTTCCTGTACATCATTTGATTTTATGGCTTTAAAAAAATCATTAAAGGTGCCAAGTAATGATTAGAGAAATGAGTTGTTGGGGTCATATTGTTGGCGGAAGAGGAGCTGGGATGAAGGCGTGTTCCGGGCCTGCTGAAGTTGTCACATAGCATCTCGCCCACAGTTGGATCGATCAACCCGGGAGGTGGAGCTGGGCTTGGAATACGGATCCCCGACTATGAACCTGGCAGGGCAAAGCCTGAAGTTTGAAAATGGCCAGTGGATAGCAGGTGAGCTGCACTTCCTGCCATTTTGTCAAACAAGATTGTAGGAGGAAATCCCCCTTTAACTGGTTCTGTCCTTCCTCCAGAGACAGGGGTTAGTGGCGGTGTGGACCGGAGGGAGGTTCAGCGCCTTCGCAGGCGGAACCAGCAGTTGGAGGAAGAGAACAATCTCTTGCGGCTGAAAGTGGACATCTTATTAGACATGGTGAGGCAGGTGATGGGGAAGAGAGGCCTAGCTTCTCCTTTTGGGGAGGCTCCACCTCGAGTCACTTAATCCAACAGATATCTCCTCAATGCCAGTTTGGCCAGGTACGTTGCTTTGCATCCAAAGCCACACGCAAGGAACAAGACACAGTTCCTGCCCTCACAGTGTAGAGGCAGGTGGACCGACCGTAAGCATAATTACATAAGGACCCAGTTGGAGTCTGCACAGGATCTGCACAGCACACGAGGGAGAAGTTATTTCTGTCAAGTCGGGAGAGCTTCCCAGAGGAAGGGATATCTGAGCTGAATGTGGAAGGATAATGGCAGGAATAGAGGTTAGATGAAGGCATTCCAGGAAGAGGGGTAGAGCCGGCTCATGGCTTGGAAGTGTCTCATACCAAGTAGGCATTAATCAGTGCCCAGTACAGACCAGCTGAGGGGCTCACACTGCATTAGTGTTGGTTTCTTGTGGCTGTTAAAAATCCAGCAACCCACTGGGCCTAGAGGAGCCTGTGAAGGTTCAGAGGCAGGAGAGCATACACTGTAGTGGTTAAGAGCACACACTCCAGAGCAAAATGGCCTGGGTTCCTCACCCAGCTCTGCTACTGACTAACTGCTCTGTAACTTAATTTCTTCAGCAATAAATGGCATAATAGCTAATTGTGGTGGTGCACCCCTGTAGTCCCAGCTACTTGGGAGGCTAAGACAGGAGGATGGCTTAACCTCAGGAGTTTGAGAGCAGCCTTGGCTGCAAAGTAAGATGCCATCTTTTTTTTTTTTTTAAAAAAGGACTAGGCTGGGCATGATGGCTCATGCCTGTAATCTTAGCATTTTGGGAGGCCAAGGTGGACGGGTCACAAGGTCAGGAGTTCGAGACCAGCCTGACCAACATGGTGAAACCTTGTCTCTACTAAAAATACAAAAATTAGCTGGGTGTGATGGCATGCGCCTATAATCCCAGCTACTCAGGAGGCTGAGGCAGGAGAATTGCTTGAACCCGGGAGGTGGAGGTTGCAGTGGGCTGAGATCGCGCCACTGTACTCTAGCCTGGGCAACAGAGTGAGACCCCATCTTGGAAAAAAAAAAAAGAAAAAGACTGACATTTTAGGCTGGATGTTTTTTTATTTTTATTTTTATTTATTTATTTATTTTAGACAGAGTCTCGCTCTGTAGCCTGGGCTGGAGTACAGTGGCATGATCTCCACCCACTGCCCCACTGCAACCTCTGCCTCCCGGGTTCAAGTGATTCTCCTGCATCAGCCTCCTGATTAGCACCCGCCACCACGCTTGGCTAATTTTTGCATTTTTAGTAGAGATGGGGTTTCACCATGTTGGCCAGGCTGGTCTCCAACGCCTGACCTCAAGTGATCTCCCTGTCTTGGCCTCCCAAAGTGCTGAGATTACAGGCATGAGCCACCACGCCCGGCCTGGATGTTTTTTTTTAAAAATGAGCATAATCGTAGTATCTACCTCATAGTGAGTTAGTACAAGAAAAGCACCCAGCCTGGCCGACAGAGCGAGACCGTGTCTCAGAAAACAAACAAACCAAAAAACAAAAACAAAAAAACCCTAAGGAGGAAAGTGGCATTCTATTTCTAGCATTTTTTCCCCTCATCCCCATTATGGGAGCTACAGCTTAGAATCAATTTCAGCTCTAATCCCTTAGCCTTACAATCACCAGTATCTGCCTTTGACGTCCTCTGAGACCTGCTCTCCTTCGTGCAGGGAGTGCCATGCCCTCGTGGGTGACAGCGTGCTGACAGAGTGGACTGTGAATATTCTTCAAGTACTTGTGGTCCTGGGTCATCAGGGGTTGCATTCTACCCAGTTACAGAGGGTTTCCCATCGAGGAAGCCAGCAGCATCAGAGAAGTGGCAGGGGGCCTTTCCTCCGTGTGTAGGGCCGGCCTTGCTAACCCGAAACATTTCCTAGAAATGTGCTGCTTGCTAACAGCCGCTGCTTCACTTTCAGCTTTCAGAGTCCACTGCTGAATCCCACTTAATGGAGAAGGAACTGGATGAACTGAGGATCAGCCGGAAGAGAAAATGAAGACCCCAGAGACATTTATTGGGGAGTAGGATGTGGCTGAGTGCTTTTTTTTTGGCCAGACTAGCGGATTCAGTCCTGGAAGAGAGTATCATATAATGAGACCCACAGGCACTGGCACCCTTGGGTTGGCAATAGAAGGTGACATGGAATGGAGAAAACCAAGATTCCAGATGGGGATAGTAACTAGAAGGTGCTTCAGATGCACTGCCTGCGGGTGCCAGTCTGAAAACCAGACCGCACAGAGGCCTGGGGCTGCTGATGAGCTTTTTGGTGCTCTCCACACACAAGCTCGCAAACACACATGTCCCAGAATAGCTCTGTTGGGTTGTGTTGGGAGAAGCGGCTGGAGTTCATTCTCTCACCCCCTTATGTTGGTGTTTGGCGTGTGACAGCAGTTCTACAGAGCTCTGTGTTGGGGTCATGGATGAGCGGCTCTCTTGGCTCTTAAAGGCAGGCCTCTCTCTTCTTGCCTTTAAAGAATCCTCCTTCCTCACACCTGGCCTCCTCTGGCTTCAGCTTCTCAGCAGCAAGCACCAGCCTTCCACAACAACACTATATTTTTATGCTACTTTCCTGTTTGCACTACTACTTTTTTATTAAACGATGTTAAATAATCTCTCTGTGACCAAAGTGACTAAAAAGAGAACCATGAGTTTCTCAAGAAGTAAATGGAGCTGGCCAGGCATGGTGGCTCACACCTGTAATCCCAGCACTTTGGGAGGCTGAGGTGGGCAGATCACCTGAGGTCAGGAGTTCGAGACCAGCCTGGCCAATAGAGTGAAACCTCGTCTCTACTAAAAATACAAAAATTAGCCAGGCGTGGTGGTGGGCACCTGTAGTCCCAGCTACTTGAGAGGCTGAGACAGGAGAATCGCTTGAACCCAGGAGGCAGAAGTTGCAGTGAGCCGAGATCATACCATTGTACTCCAGCCTGGGCGACAAGAGCGAGACTCCGTCTCCAAAAAAAAAGAATTAAATGGAGCCTGGCCAGGTGTGGTGGCACACACCTGTAATCCTAGCACTAGCACTTTGGGAGGCTGAGGCGGGCTGATTGCTTTAGCTCAGGAGTTCAAGACCAGCCTGGCAATAGCGAAACAAAATACAAAAAAAAAAAAAATTAGCTGGGCGTGGTGGTGCACACCTGTAGTCCCAGTCTCTCAGGAGGCTGAGATGGGAGGATCACTTTGAGCCCAGGGAGGTTGAGGCTGCAGTGAGCTGTGATTGCTCCACTGCACCCCAGTCTGGGTGACAGAGTAAGACCCTGTCTCAAAAAAAAAAAAAAAAAAAAAGTAACTGGAGCCTGGAGTCTAAGCCTCTGTTGTTCCATCAAAAGACAGAATTGGCCGGACGTGGTGGTTCACGCCTGTAATCCCAGCACGTTGGGAGGCTGAGGTGGGTGGATCGTCTGAGGTCAGGAGTTTGAGACCAGCCTGGCCAACATGGCAAAACCCCGTCTCTACTAAAAATACAAAAGAAAATTAGCTGGGTGTGGTAACACATGCCTGTAGTCCCAGCTACTTGGGAGGCTGAGGCAGGAGAATCACTTGAACCCGGGAGGCGGCCACTGCACTCCAGCCTGGGCGACAGAGCAAGACTCTGTCTCAAAAAAAAAAAAAAAAAAAAAAAGAATGTTTAGTGTGTGGGGAACTGTCACTCTTGTAGGAGAGCATTCCAGCTTTCCTGGGCATTGGCAGAGGCTGATGCCAAACAGAAACAGTCTCTCTGCTCAAAATTCGCCTGCCCTCCTGCTTCATGGTGTTGGGACTGGCCAGGACCTGGCAGGAACCTAATGGTTGGTGTGAGAATTTGTGCCGTAGGCAGTATGAGCTGGACTTTTCTGGCAAGAGGAGGGAATCCAGCTCCTGAAGTCAAGCGGGAAGGAACTGAGGGGGTGGAGGTGGGGGCATGGTGCCCAGGGCTTTAGACTAGGGACAGGCTACCATGGTTAGCCACTTCTGAATGCCCGGTACATGCCTGGCACCAGGCTCCCTTTGCTCTCACTGTCTCATTTCCCCTTCAGCTCAGCCCTGTGTAGCAGGGGCTATCGGCACATCCATCTGCAGAGAAGGAAACTCTGGGAGGTTCAGACACTGATCTAGGATCACACAGTAGAAGTGCTGGAGCTTGATTCACACAGCCCGCTATGAAAGAGAGGAGCTGGGGGCGGCCTCAAAGGGAGCTGCTGTCTGCAGTCCATCCTTACGGCCAGCAAAGCACTCTATGGGGGGGATGGATCGAAGGGCAGATTTGTAGCTCCAACCCATAACCTGACTTTCTGATACAGGAGAGAATGTTTAATACAGAAGAAATTGGAAAAGGATCCACATATATGCAAGGTGTAAATCTTCAGGTGCAGATAATAGGAGCAGTGGAGTTTGCTTATGCCTCGGCCGGTATCACTGGGGACCCTTTATTAATATTCCTGATGCTGGACACCTCCCGATGCTGGACACCTCATTTGCATGACACTCTTTCAAGTTTGTTATCCCCATCACCATGTTTTAGATGAGAAAACCAACCCAGCACAGTGACACAGTGGAAGGGTGGGGCCAGGACTGAAGCCTTGGGCATCATGTGGGCATATTTCGTTGTCACAATGGTGTGGATCCCCCCATGACCAGCACCATTAGGACCTTTGGGGGTTGCAGCCAGGAACCCTAAACATCCTGTGGTAGGAGGGGCAGTTCTGCAGTGAAGAAGGAATTTCTTTTGAGTGAGCGGGGAAGCAAAAGCCATTGTTATGAGCAGATAAATGCTATGATCCAACTGCACTTTTAAAAGGCGCTGGGCGTGGTGGCCCATATCTGTAATCCCAGCACTGTGGGAAGCTGAGGTGGGTAGATTGCTTGAGCTTAACAGTTTGAGACCATCCTGGGCAAAATGGTGAAACTCCATCTCTACCAAAAATACAAAAAGATTAACTGGGTGTGGTGGTGTGCACCTGTGGTCCCAGCTACTCAGGAGGCAGTGGTGGGAGGATTGCTTGAGTCCAAGAAGCAGAGGTTGCAGTGAGGTGAGATCGTGCCATTGCACTCCAGCCTGCTGACAGAGTCAGACCCCGTATCAATCAATCAATCAATAAAAATAAAAGGATCCTTCTGGTGGCTTTGTGGTGAGAACAGACTGAAGGAGGCCAGGCCCATCCCAGGGAGGCCACAGTAGATGAGGTGAGGTGGTCTGATTCTGGATAACACTTGAAGGTAGAGCCTCCCCGTGATGGCTGGGAATCAGGGACAGTCCCATGAATGAAAGTCTTTAGGAGAAAAGGAAAAAAAATCACCCATATATCGCCACACTAACCCTGTTTGCTTCAGCGAGGTGTTTTGTTTTGTTTTTCTTGAGACATTATATATTTTCAAATCTAAATAGAGCCAGATATATCCTTCAGGTTCTGGCTAAAATTCTTCATCCTCAAAGACTTTATTGGCCAGGCACAGTGGCTCACGCCTGTAATCCCAGCATTTCAGGAGGTCAAGGAAGGAGGATTGGGCTGAGCCCAGGAGTTTGAGACCAGCCAGGGCAACATACTGAGACACCATCTCTACAAAAAAAAAATTTAAGTTAGCCAGGCGTGGTGACACACACTTGTAGTCCCAGCTACTTTGGAGGCCGAGGTGAGAGGATCCCTTAACCTGGGAGATCGAGGCTGCAGTAAGCCAAGATTGCACCACTGTATCCTCCAGCCTGTGTGACAGGGCAAGACACCGTCTCTTTAAAAAAAATTTAAAAAGGGCCTGGCGCGGTGCCTCATGCCTCTAATCCCAGCACTTTGGGAGGCCGAGGCGGGCGGATCACCTGAGGTCAGGAGTTTGAGACCAGCCTGGCCGACATGGCAAAAACCTGTCTCTACTAAAAATACAAAAATTAGCCTGGCATAATGGCAGGCACCTAATCTCAGCTATTTGGGAGGCTGAGGCAGGAGAATCATGTGAACCTGGGAGGTGGAGGTTGCAGTGAGCCGAGACTGCACCAGTGCCCTCCAGCCTGGGCAAAGGAGCAAGCCTCCCATCTCAAAAAAAAAAAAAAAAGAAAGAAAAGAAAAGAAGATTCTGTGGACGAGAGGGAGGGCATGAGTGCAGGATTAGAGGCAGTAATGGCAGGAAGACCGAGTTTGAGTCCTAGCAAGGGGAACTGCGCAGACAACAGGACAGGCATGGGCTAATGTGCACTTTCTAATGAGAGGGGCTTATAGTTTTTATAGGATTCTCGAAGGGAGCCATGCCCCCACCCCCCAATTAAGAGCTACTATATCACATGTTTCTAATTCTGACAGGACAGAAACAAGCAAGGTGGAAATCTTGGGCTCGAGAGATGGGGAGTAGAGGAGCTAAGAGCCCAGCGTTCTTGAACCTGCCTCTCCCATCCGATGGCAGTCACCTGGGCTCCTAGCATGGGGCATTGCCACTCACTTGCTGACACCCTTGTCCACTGATGCGACCTCCATCCTGGCACCAGTCTCACCATGTCATCTCTGCTGCTGAGCCTTCCTCTTGAAGACTTCAGCAATTCCTCAGCCCTCTGGTTTCCCTCTCTCCCCAATCTTTAAATGTCTGATTCCACAGGACTCTGTCTTTTTTTTTTGTTTCTGAGACAGAGTCTGGCTCTGTTGCCAGGCTGGAGTGCAGTGGCGTGATCTCGGCTCACTGCAACCTCCAACTCCCGGGTTTAAGCAATTCTCCTGCCTCAGCCTCCTGAGGAGCTGGGACTACAGGCGCCTGCCACCACATCTGGCTAATTTTTGTGTTTTTAGTAGAGATGGGGTTTCACCATGTTGGCCAGGATGGTATCAATCTCTTGATTTCGTGATCCACCCGCCTCAGCCTCCCAAAGTGCTGGGATTACAGGCGTGAGCCACTGCGCCCGGCCAGGGCTCTGTCTTCTGTTCTCACTCTGCCTTTTCTTTTCTTTTCTTTTTTTTTTTTTTGAGATGGAATCTCACTCTGTCGCCCAGGCTGGAGTGCAGTGGTGCAATCTTGGATCACTGCAAACTCTGCCTTCCGGGTTCAAGCGATTCTCCTGCCTCAGTCTCCCAAGTAGTTGGGATTACAGGTGCTCACCACCACGCCTGGCTAATTTTTGTTTTTAGTATAGATGGGGTTTCACCATGTTGGCCAGGCTGGTCTCGAACTCTGGACCTCAGGTGATCCACCTGCCTCAGCCTCCCAAAGTGCTGGGATTATAGGCATGAATCACTGCCCCCAGCCTCACTCTATCTTTTCTAGATCATCTCATCTCCTCCCAAAGTTCTGAACACTCTGCATTGCATGATTTCCAGTATTTTTTCTTATCCCTTGGAAATTCTATAATCATTGAAAGAGCTCTTTCATCCTTAAACAGGTTTTTTTTTTTTAAATCATGTGTTGCTCTTATGAATATAAGCAAAATTCATTGGTTTTCCTAAAACTTCTCCACATTAGCATTGCGAATTACTTTCCATTTGGAGTCACTAATGTCTGTGCTTTTCAAATAAGATTGGTCCCTCTACGTTCAATAGCATTAGTCTTCTAGCATTTCTTAAATGAACCCATAAAAGAACTAAAAGCTGTTGGCACTGGGCTCTTAAGCTGCCCTCGAAATTATAAAGGGCTAGCCCGCTTTTTTTTTTTTTTTTTTTTTTTTTTGAGACAGAGTCTCACTCTGTCGCTCGGGCTGGAGTGCAGTGGCGCAATCTTGGCTCACTGCAACCTCCGCCTCCCAGGCTCAAGGATTCTCTTGCCTCAGCTTTCCGAGTAGCTGGGAATATAGGCGCCTGCCACCACGCTTAGCTAATTTTTGTATTTTTAGTAGACAGGGGGTTTCACCATGTTAGCCAGGCTGGTCTCGAACTCCCGACCTCAGGTAATCCACCCGCCTCAGTCTCCCCAAGTGCTGCAATTACAGGCATTAGCCACCGCACCCAGCCCCGCTCTTTTTAAAAAAGTAACCTTTTTAACACAGGCAAAAAAGCATAGTTCATAAGTGTACAGCTTGATGAATTACCCAAAATCAACACAGACCTAAGAGAACCATAGCATCCCAGAAGCTACTCTCCTGCCCCTTTCCAAAATTAACCCCTTCAAGGGAATCACTGTCCTGACCTCTCATCATAGATTGGTTTCTGCCTGTTTTTGAACTTTATATAATGGAATCATACAGGAGTACCCTTTTGTCACATGAAAACTGTCTGATAGGCCAGACTCACGCCTGTAATCCCAGCATGTTGGGTGGTCAAGGAGGCTGGATCACTTGAGGTCAGGAGTTCGAGACCAGCCTGGACAACATGGCGAAACCCCATCTCTATTAAAAATAGCCGGGGCCATGCCTGTAATCCCAGCTACTCAGGAGACTGAGGCAGGAGAATCACTTGAACTCGGGAGGCAGAGGTTGCAGTGAGCCGAGATTGCGCCACTGCACTCCAGCCTCCATCACAAAAAACAAACAAACAAACACAAAAAAGTGTCTGATAGAGATGCCCTGTCCAAAGATGAAAGGGAGGCCTGGGGACTGTATCGGAAGGAGTGTGAGACACAGGACAAATGCTCATTACTGCATCCTCATGCATCACAGAAGGATTTGGACTCTCCCATCCTGGGAGTCTCTGATTCCAGGTTCAGTTGGCTAAAGGTGTTTATCAAATTACCCTGTTTAATAACATGGGGCACATTTTAAAAAGAAGCACTTACATCCATCATATAGGCAAAAAGTAAAAAGATGGATAACACCTAATGCTGGGGAGGGTGTGGGACAAGGACATTTCCATTTACTGTACTATTATGAAAGCATCTGATAGAGGCTGGGAGCAGTGGCTCATACCTGTAATCCCAGCACTTTGGGAAGCCAAGGCGGGTGGATCACCTGAGGTCACGAGTTTTAGACCAGCCTGGCCGACATGGTGAAATCCCATCTCTACTAAAAATACAAAAAGTTAGCCAGGCATGGTGGCACACACCTGTAGTCCCAGCTACTTGGGAGGCTGAGGCGGGAGAATCGCTTGAGCCCAGGAGGTTGCAGTGAGCTGAGATCATGCCACTGCACTCCAGCCTGGGCGACAGAGCAAGACTCCATCTCAAAAACAAACACACAAACTCAAACAAAAATTTATATCTGCATACTTTCTGACCAGCTCACCTACTTACTAGAAATCTATGTACTATGCCTCAGTTTCCTCATTTCTAAAATGGGGATAACAGTGCCTACCCCAGTGAGCTGCTGTGAAGATTAAAGGAGGACACACCGCACCCACCCACACCCACAGGCACCAGAGCACCTGGTATTTAGGTGTTAACTCTTACCTTTGTTTGGTACATAGGGAAGATTTACCTGATGTTTTCCCAAAAGACCTGCAAGACACTAATTTATTCCTACCAAGTAAAACATGGCTCAGGAAAACGAAACTGGATCAGTGTCTCTCTAAAACAGCCCAAGAAGCAGGCCAAGGAGATGGACAAGGAAGATAAATCTTTGGCCCTGGTCACAGGCCGAATTAAGAAATCCGGCAAGGTGGGGCGCAGTGGCATAGGCCTGTAATCCTAGGACTTGGGGAGGCTGAGGCAGTCGGATTGCTTGAGTCTCGGAGTTCAAGACCAGCCTAGGCAACACAGTGAAACCCTGTCTTTATATATATATGTATGTGTGTGTGTGTGTGTGTGTGTATATGTGTGTATGTATATATACATAATACGTATATATGTATACGTATGTATATATATACATATATACACATACCTATATACACATATATACATATATACACATATATACATATATATACATATATACGTATATATATACACACACATAAAATATATATTATATATAATATATAACTATATATAGGCCAGGTGCGGTGGCTGATGCCTGTAATGCCAGCACTTTGGGAGGCCGAGGCGGGCAGATCACTTGAGGTCAGGAGTTCAAAACCAGCCTAGCCAAATGGTGAAACCCCGTCTCTACTAAAAATACAAAAAATTAGCGGGGCGTGGTTGGTGGTGCATGCTGAGGCAGGAGAATCGCTTGAACCTGGGAGGCGGAGCTTGCAGTGAGCCGGGATCACACCACTGCACTCCATCCAGTCTGGGCGACAGAGCGAGACTCCGTCTCAAAACAAAACCAACAACAACAACAACAACAAAAAGCTAAAATCTTACAAAAAGCGACCTGTTCCACTGTCCCTTGGGCCTGCGGTGATGGTGGGCCTGACTCCATTCGTCTTTAAACATCTCTATTCCCGGCCACATCTTTGGCCACCTATGCTCGAATAAAGTGTTGTCTTGGAGCCTGTTGTAAATTTAAGAATAAACTTTTGTTAAAAAAAAAAATACAGTGGCTCATCATCTCTTGAGTTGTTTTCACTCAGCCACTCCTACCTTAGCTGTGAACTTAAAGTAAAACAAGCCCCCAGAATCTTGCCAGAGTCAGCCCTTTGATCTTTGTTCTCCCCTGAACTCTATTACCTGGAATTAAAACAACGCATTTGAAAAAAAGAAAAACAAGCAAGTTTCTGAGCTCACCCTATACCCGCTGAACAGAATGACTGCGGTGGCGCCCCAGAACCTCTCACAGGCCTCTCAGCTGCTGCTAATGCCCGCCGAAGCCCCGACGCCCGGATAAGGCCAGGGCTGCCGGACCCGCTGCGGGCACTGGAGGACCCGGGGCTAGAGGGCGCCGCTCTCGCCCGGCTCGCGCCTCGGCTCCCGGAAAAGCAGCTCTGTCCGCCGTTCGGCTGCGCTCACCTCCTTTCCGCTTCCGGTGTCCCCTACAGTCATGGCTGCCGCCGTCGCTGCTGCCGGTGCAGGGGAACCCCAGTCCCCGGACGAATTGCTCCCGAAAGGCGACGCGGAGAAGCCTGAGGAGGAGCTGGAGGAGGACGACGATGAGGAGGTACTAGGGCCTCGCGGGGTGCAGAGCGGGAAGCGGGCCCGCTCGTGGGTGTGGGATCCGCGTGGTACGGGATCGGAGCGAAGCGGCTGCTTTGGGAGGCGGGGTTAGGGGCCCTGCTGGGCCCTGGGTGCCCTAGCTCCAGTGGGGCTCGGCGGCTCCCAGTGCCGCAGCGGGGCCAGGAATGGATGTCGCTTTTTCGGCTAAGACCCGCGTCTACTCCACCACAGCTAGATGAGACCCTGTCGGAGAGACTATGGGGCCTGACGGAGATGTTTCCGGAGAGGGTCCGGTCCGCGGCCGGAGCCACTTTTGATCTTTCCCTCTTTGTGGCTCAGAAAATGTACAGGTAAGGAACGAGGGCAAAGGCACTGGGTACGTGCATGGGATGGTCGTGGTGCTGTGAAAGAACACGGGGTTTGGAAGCAGCAGACCCGTGTTGGGTGACCTTGGGCTTGTACCCTATCCTTTCTTAGTTTCCTCTTCTGTAAAATGGGGATTCTTACCTGGCAGGGGAGTTGTGGGGGTTATTTCAGATTGTTGGAGATAATTAATGAATAAGGAGCTTTGTAAGAACTCAGGAGAATGTTAAACCGCCATCACTAGATGATACAGCTACCATAGCTGCTCCTCCTGTCTCTGGTAGGAGTATGGTGTAAGGAGCGGGTAGAATACGTTTATCAAAAACATTGGAGTATGTAATGTGAGAGGTTTGGTTACTGGGTAGTTCTTGCCTGTTTTGTTTGCATGTCTTCATGCTCACCCTCTGGGGATTTTCCTCTGCAGGTTTTCCAGGGCAGCCTTGTGGATTGGGACCACTTCCTTTATGATCCTGGTTCTTCCCGTTGTCTTTGAGACGGAGAAGTTGCAAATGGAGCAACAGCAGCAACTGCAGCAGCGGCAGGTGAGCCCAGACCTTGGGCTTTTTGCCAGTGGTGGAGACGCAAGTTATTTCACTAACACATTGGTCCCCAACCTTTTTGGCACCAGGGACTGGTTTCATGGAACACAGTTTTTACATGGATGGTGGGTTGGGGGTGGCCGGGGGTCGGGGGGGGGGTTCTGGATGATTCAAGTGCATTACATTTATTGTGCACTGAATTTCTATTATTACATTGTAATATATAATGAAATAATTCTATAACGTAGAATGAGTGGGAGCCCTGAGCTTGTTTTCCTGCAACTAGACAGTCCTGTCTGGGGGTGATGGGAGACAGTGACAGATCATCAGGCATTAGATTTTCATAAGGAGCTTGCAACCTAGATCCCTCGCATGCACTGTTCACAAGGGTTTGTGTTCCTATGAGAATCTAACACTGCTGCTGATCTGACAGGAGGTGGAGCTCAGGCAGTAATGTGAGCGATGGTGAACAGCAGTAAACACAGATGAAGCTTCTCTCACTTGCCTGCTGCTGATCTACTGCTGTGTGGCTCAGCTCCTAACAGGCCATGGGCCAGTGCCAGTCCACAGCCCAGGGGTTGAGGGCTCCTGTTGTAGCACCTGAGTTGACCAACAGTTAATGTGTGGGTGGGGATTGGGATCGGGCCCATGCTCTTTTAGTTGTCTGACTGTGCTTTCAGTATTATTTTTGTAGACGTTGGCCCCATCAGGTATGGTGAGAATAAGCTCTCTAGGCCTGTATGATGCCTTACACCCCTCCTTTTCTTTTCCAGATACTTCTAGGACCTAACACAGGGCTCTCAGGAGGAATGCCAGGGGCTCTACCCTCACTTCCTGGAAAGATCTAGATTGTTATTGCTGTTTGAGCTGTCTCAGTGGGATAAGTTTGAAATTCAAGTGTTTGAACTGCTGATAATTTGGATTTTTTTTTTTTTTTAACTTTGGCACATTGATCTATCTAAACCTGGTGGGGAGAATTATCCCCACATTGTCTCATGGAAAGACTCAACTTGCAACTGTGCCCTCCACACTATCCTTACTTCTGTCTCCACTCTGATACCAGAGTGCAGCCATGCAGATGGTTATTCCAGCTCTGGTCACCCGACTCCTTTCACCAAATTGCTCCTAACTGGAAGATCTCACTTTCCCCTTGTGGGGTAGGAACCGATGCCAGTGGGAGGGATGTGCCCCTGACCATTAACGACTGTTTTTTTTTTTTTTTTTTAAAGAATGGAGTTGTTGGGGCAGGACATGCACACAATGTGAAACAGACAAAATGCATTACACCTGTAGTGTAAAGTGGCCACTATGAATCCCTATGTATGAGAGGAGGGAGGCAGGCTGCAGCTTCAGCCACAGAATGGGGACTATGGAAGACAGCAGGAGCTCATTTCCTCTGCACATTTTGGCTGTTAGACCTGTGTGTGTGTTTAAAAAAAGAGAAGTCAGTGCTCACTTTTTGTATTTAAATATTAAAAATGATTCCAACTGAAAGTGTCATCCTAAGTACCTTGAAATGAGACCACGTCAGAGACATGTACTGCCCCTCACATTTTCTCACCTAAACCAGCAGCACCTCCATCTTAACAGCCATAGGCCCAAATTGTTTCCAAGTGAAAATTCATTTTTAGCCAAGTACTTCATAGCAATCTTTGCCCTGAATTTAGGCAGTCACTTTGAGATCCATCAGCCTAAAACAAAGGATTGGGTCTATGTACTTCTTTAGTCTATAATGACACTGTGTAATTATAAAGTATTTGTAGGGAATAACATAGTACTGATTTCTGGGGAATAGGGGAGGGGGACAGAATTTTTTTTTTTTTTTTTTTGCCTGAGATCAGGTCTCACTGGAGTACAGTGGTGTCGTTTGGGTTCACTGCAACCTCTTACCTCCCCTCCAACTTGGCCTCCTGGGTAGCTAAGACTACAGGTACACGCCACCGTGCCCAGCTAGTTTCTTTTATTTTTGGTAGAGTCAGGGTTTCGCCTTGTTGCCCCAGATAGTCTTGAACTCCTGAGTTCTAGCCATCCACCCGCCTCTGGCCCCTCAAAGTGCTGGGATTATAGGCGTCACCCACCACGCCCAGCCAGAGTAAGCCTTTTGTGTGTTTATCAGATCAACCAACACTACAATCTAGGTGGTACTGTTCCCATTTTACAGAAGAGGAAACAGCCACAGAAAGGTAATTGCTCAAGGCTGCAGAGTTAAGTGCTAGACCTGGATTCAAATCCAGGCAGTCCAGCTACAGAACACTGCTGCTGTGCGCTCGGGATGGTGGGGCTGGGCCCAGGCCCGCTGGGTATACATGATCTTTCACTTGTTAACTAGGGAAAAACACTAGTCACCAGTGTGGTACAAACTTGTACTTAGGTGGATTCTTCAAATTGTCAAGATTAGTTTTTATAAATTAAAATAGACTGAAAAATGTCTTAGAGACATCTTTTGAACCAAATCCCATTTCAGTGACTATTTTGTCTGGATTTCTCAGGTGAAAGAGTTAATCAAAGAATGATATGTCTCTAAAAGATGACTTACGCTGGCAATGAACTCCTTTTAAAACAGCGTCATACTAAAGTTTATTTTTCTTTACACAATTATAGAATTCAGGCAGACAAGGAGACATATATGGAGTTTTCCATTTTTAATATTTGGTTAAACAAAATACATCTTTTGTAAACAAACGCAGCACAAGGCCAACAACAAAAAGGAATAAAAGCAAGAAAAACAAAAAGCCTAGGGTTGCCCGTTATTGGGCATCAGGGTCAGGCCTGTTCACTTCCTTAAAGGAAGTGGGGCTTTTTGCCCTTGGGCATCAGCATGGGTCCCTGTTCCTAAGCACCAGAATTGGATATGAACAGAGAAACC
Source organism: Homo sapiens (assembly GCF_000001405.40). Classification (NCBI taxonomy): domain Eukaryota; kingdom Metazoa; phylum Chordata; class Mammalia; order Primates; family Hominidae; genus Homo; species Homo sapiens. Next base: position 38,685,860 of record NC_000022.11, read on the forward strand.
AGCCCTGAAATGTTTAAGCGTCTTTGCATATCCCATTGGCTCATGGACTCCAAGTGCATGGGGACTCTTTCAAGTGCCATTTGCACAGGCCCAAGTGGATTTGTGGAGAGGAGTTTCCTCCTCTACCCAAGAAATGGCTTACTATCTGACAGTGCCAGTGGCCCCAAGGTCCTGCTTGTGACAATCAGCAAGGTTGGCTGTAATGTCTGGCTGGTGGTGGTTGGAATGTCATTGTGCAGGGCAGGAAAAGAGCTCCCTGTGGTGCCAAGCAGGTCTGGTGTAGAAAATGGTGCAGAAGAGACTGCGGCCAGTTGCTGAGAAGATATAACGCAGTAGCCGCTTGGTGGCCTGTTACTCAGCATTAAAAAAACGGCCTTGTTGGATTGAAGATACATGTGCAGAAAAAGTGCTGGTGTCAACATGCACTCCAGTCACAGGGGGGAGAAAGCCCAGCTTCACCCCGTTAAGCTTGCTCAGGATCAACATGCAAGCCCCAGGCTGGCTTTGCTGCTGGAGAGAAGTCTGGCCAGTGGGACAGCTCTCAGACCTGCCACGACCATTGATCTGAGGGCCAGCAGGTCACCCCTGCCTGCCACCTGCCTTGAGGCAACCACATCCACTTTGGAGACACGCATATGGTATGATACTTATTTCTCCTCTTTTGTTTTCCAAAGTTACAAGAGAAAAGTGGCCTACAACTATCTGAAGAGGTAGGGGCGGGTTGAACTTCCATTGATACAGAGAGGAAACGACATGAAGATGACCAGCCCAGGTCCTATTCCATCCATACAGCACAGAACCACCCAACCTGAGCTTGGCAACTACAGTGGCAGCCTCCGAGCCTAGAGTGTCTACTGAATTGTGGCTGCCCCTACTCCAAGAAGCCTGTCTTCACAATACTTTCCTCACCCAACGCTGCCCCAAATTAGTGGAATTTGATGTCAAAAGCAGACTTTTTTTTCCTGATTTTGCCAGAGTGAGTGAACTGGGAAAACTGCTCTTTGGCTTCTCTTTTGTCCCAGAGCCTCCTAAATCAATGCTGCGAAATGGTAGGGACAACACTGGAGTGAAGAAACCAAGCCACCCCATGGCTGTCCCAGGTTGGCTTTAGCCACATCCTGTTCAGTATCCTCCTCACTTCATACTAGAATATTAGTTAATTTTTCATTATAAAACTCTGCCGGGTGCGGTGGCTCACGCCTGTAATCCCAGCACTTTGGGAGGCCAAGGCGGGCAGATCACTTGAGGTCGGGAGTTTGAGACCAGCCTGACCAACATGGAGAAACCCCATCTCTACTAAAAATACAAAATTAGCCAGGTGTGGTGGCAGGCGCCTGTAATCCCAACTACTTGGGAAGCTGAGGCCTGAGAATCGCTTGAACCAGGAGGTGGAGGTTGCAGTGAGCCGAGATGGTGCCATTGCACTCCAGCCTGGGCAACAAGAGTGAAACTCAGTCTCAAAAACAACAACAAAAAACCTCCACGTATGGCCATAAACCACCCTTAAACCTGGGGATAAGGGTTGGAGACAGCATGCTGTACCGCTGCTAGGGTTTTGGACATGGTTTCCTGAGAGACCTTTATGCTCTGGGTCCTTCAAACCAGTCACATGGGGTTTGTGGGCACTATCTGCAGACCCACTGTTTTCAGACCCAGACAGGATGGAAAGTGGAGGCAGCATCTCTAGGTGAGTCTGGAGCAGCAGTGACAACTCAGCAGAACCTGTGTCAAGTCCTCATAGAAAAGGGAAAATAAGCTAGGATTCCCTCCCCGCTCCACTTTCTCCTCTGTCTCTTAAATAAAACAAGGGTTTGTGACCACTGGCCTTAAGTGCACAGAACTCCTACCTTCCTTGCCCAGGAACAAAACACTGAGTAGTTCTTATAACAGTCCACACGTCTGTCCTATTGCACTGTCAGATCTGAAGGGGAAAAACTTGATGAGATGTTTGGGGAAGTGGCAAGGGCAGACCCACTGTAGAGGCCACAGCACGTCACAGAGGACTGAAGGGGCTGAGGCGAGAGGGAGGTTGGGCAGAACTGTTACACATCGGTCCTCCAACTCTGATGAGCCTCTACCTCTTCTGGTACCACCAGCAGGAGTTCACAGTTCTTTCCTCGCAAATGATGTTTTAGAAACTTCCTATGGAAAAAGAGATAGAGAAAATGAAATGCTGGCAAGTTGCAAATTCCAGTCTCAGGACCACAAAGTCACCTGAAACCTCACTCTACCCTCGGCAGTCCAAAACACATCCCTGTAGTCATCTGGTTTTGGAGGGTTCCACATTTGGTTACCCTCCAATCTGTCCAGTTAAAATTCCAACCTGAATTTTGCTCATCCTTGTAGTTACTGCCAAGAGTAGCTGGATCTGTGAATAACAGTACCCAAAGTATATAAAGGACTTTTTCTTGGTTTGTTTGGAGACGGAGTTTCGCTCTTGTCGCCTGGGCTGGAGTGCAATGGCATGATCTCGGCTCACTGCAACCTCTGCCTCCCAGGTTCAAGTGATTCTCCTGCCTCAGCCTCCTGACCAGCTGGGATTACAGGCGTCCGCCACCACGCCTGGCTAATTTTTGTATTTTTAGTAGAGACAGAGTTTCACCGTGTTGGTCAGGCTGGTCTCGAACTCCTGACCTCAGGTGATCCACCCGCCTTGGCCTCCCAAAGTGCTGAGATTACAGGCGTGAGCAATCGCCTCTAAAGAACTTTTACAAATGTTCTTTGGTCCTGGGGAAATTCAGTGCTCCCTGGCCTGCATGTTTGTCTTCCTTTCTATGAACTGGCAACTACACTGTCTCAGTTGTCTTAAATAGAGAGAACGTTACAATGCCAGCCCCACCAGACTAGAAGGCTGGTATCCCAGGCTGGGCATCTTCCCTACCAAAAGGACTTAAAAGTACTGATGCGCCATTGAAGATTAAGGTCAGGTCCGAGACACTATGATTCTAAGGCAGGGAGAGAATCCAAGGGCACAGGAATTTCATTTCCTTTGTCAAATAACCAGAGATGAGCTCAGTGTCCCCAACCTAAGAAATGAAGCAGCCTAGCAACTTAGTCACAAAAGGTGCCGATTACCTGAGCTCGCTCTCGCCTCCAATCCACTCGGGCATCTTGAGTTTGGAGTCGAGGTTGTAGTAGGCCCCTCCCACCTCTCGAACACAGATCCAGTGCTGCCTTTTGAGGGGCAGTTTCAGTGGACCCCAGCATAGGCTGGAGGGCAGATTCATGATGAAGCCCATGACGTTAGTGAGGGCAATGACACCGACATCCCTGCAGGGGAGAAATGGTGGCAGGCTCTGATGCAGCCCATTTTCCAAGGTTCCCTGGCTGTAATACCACAACTGGCTACCTCCCCACTCATGCCATGAGCCCAAGTACTAAAAGCTTATACCACAACCGTGCTGTTCTCCATCAAGTCAAGCCTGATTCAGATTACCTGCGCTTGTCCCACCAAACAGCTTCATAGCCTTTGGTCTGAAGTGCTGCCATAATGACATTCACATCGTAGTTGCCATTTCCCAGCATGCTCTTCTTGTGAGGTGTCACCATGGTGTTTGGAGACAACCTACCAATGTGAAAAGAGGAGGGCTGAGACTTGCTGGATGCCTGAACCCCCTGACCCCGCACTACCAGGGATGGAGAGCACTTTACATCACTGCCCCTGGAAGTTAGTTTCCCCACATTCAAGTGCAATTTCCCCAGCTTCTACCTAAGTATTTTGTAAGTGTTCCATGAAGGTGACTCACTTATGAAATCCCAGCCTCCTGCAGCCTTTCTGCTCTTCCTCCTGATACTGATTTTCCTGCCTCATGCAAGCCTTTTTTTTTTTTAACATTGGAAAATAGGATTCAATCTTTTCATTTGCATGGATAGTAACTGGTGTCACTCCTGCTTTCTAGTTAAGGCCTGCAAACTTGGTAATCATTAATCATTAAATACTCAAAGGCATACAGGAGCCTAGACAGGTGACATAAATGTATAAACTGGGGTTGGATATAAGGCAATAAAAAGTAGTGAGGCCTACTGGAATGCACGACCCACCTAAAGGCATTCTGTGTGTGTGTGTGTGTGTGTGTGTGTGTGTGTGTAGTACTTGAATAAATTTTTCTTAAAATACCCAATAAATCAACTGAAAAAAAATTTGTGCCAGGCAAACAAAACTCAGCTGCAGCACTGGTTTGCCCACCCAGCTTGAAGCCATTTACTTCCAGGTTTCTTTAGCCAGTCTGTATTTTAAGACAAGGTCCATGCTGAAGGCATTTCTAATTCTATTATTTTACCTTCATAAACTTGTCAGGCCAGGAGCTGGGGAAAGGCCATTTTGAAGGAAGGGTTCAAGGGGCATACCTTTGGGCTTCGTGTGAAGGGGAGAAAGGGAAGTGTGGCGAGTTCCTCAGGACATAAAGTGCATGATCAAGAGGCTACTACATGCCATCTCCAGAAAAGAATCAAGACGTTAGGCCAAGGATGTCAACTCTAAAAAACTTAAGAAATCTTGTATTTTTAAAATTTTTCTGTGCACAGCAGAAATACTGGTATTTTTTTTCTTTCTTTTTTTTTTGAGTCGGAGTCTTGCTCTGTCGCCCAGGCTGGAGTGTGATGGCGCGATCTCAGCCCACTGCAACCTCCGTCTCCTGCGTTCAAGTGATTCTCTTGCCTTAGCCTCCCAAGTAGCTGGGATTACAGGCACCCGCCACCACGCCCACCTAATTTTTGTATTTTTAGTTGAGATGGGGTTTCACTACGTTGGCCAGGCTGGTTGGTCTCGAACTCCTAACCTTGTGATCCACCCGCCTCAGCCTCCCAAAGTGCTGGGATTACAGGTGTGAGCCACTGAACTCAGCAATACTGGTATTTTTCAAATATAAAACATACTCCTGGCCAGGCGCGGTGGCTCATGCTTGTAATTCCGGCACTCTGGGAGGCTGAGGTGGGCAGATCACTTGAGGTCAGGAGTTCAAGACCAGCCTGGGTAACATGGTGAAACCCCGTCTCTACTAAAAATACAAAAATTAGCCAGGCGTGGTGGTGCACGCCTGTAGTCTCAACTACTCAGGAGACTGAGGCAGCTAACTGCTTGAACGTAGGAGGCAGAGGCTGCAGTGAGCCGAACATAGGAGGCAGAGGCTGGATGTCACCACTGCATCCAGCCTGGGTGACAGAGTGAGACTCCGTCTCAAAAAACAAACCAACAAACAAAACAAAACAAAACCCCATGCTCCTGGCCGGGAGTGGTGGCTCACACCTGCAATCCCAGCACTTTGGGAGGCCAAGGTGGGAGTATCGCTTGAGCCTGGGAGTTAGAGACCAGCTTGGGCAACATGGCAAAACACTGTCTCTGCAAAAAATACAAAAATTAGGCGGGCATGGTGGCATGTGCCTATGGTCCCAGCTACTCGGGAGGCTGAGGTGGGAAGATCACCTGAGCCAGGGAAGTCAAGGCTGTGGTGAGCCATGACTGCACTCCAGCCTGGGTGATAGAGTAAGACCCTGTCTCAAAAAAAAAGAAAAAAAAAAAAAACCCACAGAATTAAAAACAACAAACATACTCCTGCCACTGCTTAAAACCTTCTGATGGCACCTAAAGCACTTAAATACACTCTAAACTACTTCCTTTGGCATGCAAGGCCCTCAAGGTCCTGCAGATCTCATCTCTTACCTTTTATTACACTGACCTTCTTACTGTTCCCTAAAAACAAAGCTCTTTTTCTCACTGTGCACTCATGCACTCACTGTTCCCGCTGTCTAGAATGTTCTTTCTGTAGTTCCTTATTGTTTGGGTGTCAAATGTTACTGCCATAGAGAGGCCTTTTCTTTTTCTTTTTTTGAGACAGAGTCTGGCTCTGTCGCCCAGGCTGGAGTGCAATGGAGTGATCTCAGCTTACTACAACCTCCGGAGAGGCCTTTTCTTGACCACCCAACCATAAGTTTCTCCCAGTCACTACCTCACATCAACCTTTTGATTTAATTACAGCCCTGTCACTACCAGATGTGTTTCTCATTGGTCTGTTTTTCTACACTAGACTGACAGCAGGGGCCTTGACTATCTGTGAACGCTACACTGCTAGGGGCCTAAAGAGTGCCTGGCACAAGACAGGTGCTCAAGGAATGTTTGCTGAAATGTTCAGTGTTTATTTTTGTTGTCCTTCTCTTTCCCTGTAAACATCAGTAACTGACTCTTAAAAGGGCTTATATGCTCATCTCCAGGGCTAGCAAAGAAATCTGCAACCAAACTTTATCTTACCTGTAATAATAACTATAACTTATTGAAAAATCTCTGTGCCAAGCACTATGATAAGGTACTTTAATTTGCATTTCATTTAATCTTCACAATAAACCTATGAGGATATGAATTATTTCTATTGTATAGGTCCATAAAACTGAGGTTTGGTGGTTTTAACTGACCTGCCCATGAGCACTTGCAAGTGACAGAACTAGGATTCCACTGTGGATTCATTTGAATCCAAAGTTATGCTTGCTGTCTTACAGCAAGGACCCAAGAATCAGAGTGGCAGGGGATGGGGGCTTGAAAAGAAGAGAGGCCAGCTACATCCCTGAGGACTAGGGATGAAACATAGCTTAAAAAGACAAAGGCTCTCCATGGGTACTCACACGTTTGGATTAAATGAGAACACACTGCCAGGTGCAGTGGCTCACGCCTGTTATCCCAGCACTTTGGGAGGCCGAGGTGGGAGGATCACTTGAGGCCAGGAGTTTGAGACCAGCTTGGCCAACATAGTGAAACCCCATCTCTACTAAAAATACAAAAAAATTAGCCAGGTGTGGTGGCAGGTGCCTGTAATCCCAGCTACTCGGGAGGCTGAGGCAGGAGGATCGCTTGAACCCGGGAGGCAGAGGTTGCAGTGAGCCAAGATCATGACATTGTACTCCAGCCTGGGCAACAAGAGCAAAACTCTGTCTCAAAAAAAAAAAAAAAAAAAAAAAAGAAAGAAAAAAAGAGAACAGAACACATATGAAAGAAGGCCTAGCCCCTGATATAATTGGTTCCTTTCCCAAGTTTCTTGTTCCTTTCACTGAAGTCTCTGACCAGTACATGAATGAAGGCTCCAACAAGGAAAATGCTGAGTCTTCCACCTCATTCACCATCTAACTCCCTACCAGGCTCAAACCTTAGAGCGGCGCTTCCCAAGGGTGCTCCTGGAGATGCCATTTCCATGTTCATTAACAGAGGATCCCAGAAGGCATCCAATACAATAACAGCTGAATGAACCAAGTAGGTAAATGGGTTTCCTGCAGAATTCTTGGAGTCCCTAACATGCTAATCTTCACTTTGAATCTCAAGGAAAGGGGATTATAAAATATGCTTCAGTTCCCAAACAAATTTGACCACACATTTGTTTTGAGGTGTACCTTACAGAACTAGCTTTCCAATGATCTTTCTTCCCTGTCCTTCATCTTCTGTCTTGGATTCAAATCCTTTCCTATTACCACTCCATCTCTCTCCTAACCAGAGGCTCCTTACCTCACACCTTGACTTCTGAAACAGATTCCTAAAAATTGATCACTTTGCTTCCAAGCGCTCCTTCCACCAATTCAGCCTCTATGTTCCTGCCAAATTCACCAAGGCATCAATTCACTTCCCTTTGTATATATAGGAACTGACAATGGTACCAACTGCCTGGTTGGCCAGTTCTACACTTCCTGGCCCCACTTGGCCAGCTATATCCCTCTCACTGGGCTTAGTGCACTTTAGGCACCATGATCATATGGCCTTTATTCTATTTTTTCTTCCTCTGTCACCTAGGCTGGATTACAGTGGTATGATTGTGGCTCACTGTAGCCCCAAACTCCTGGGCTCAACTGATTCTCCTGTCTCAGCCTCCCTCTTGAGCCACTGTGCCCAGCAGCCTCTATTCTTTTATCCTATTTCCTGTTCCAAGCCAAATCCTACAGCTCCTTCACACCCTATCTCTTCCATAGGATCTTCCCTGGATCCTCTGTAAAAAAGGGAGGGAGAGTGAGGACCATACATATCTGAGTTCATATCCTAGCACCGATCAACACTAACTGTGGGATTTAATCTCCATGCCTGTTACCTTGCCTGTAAAAATGGAAATAATTACTATTTTATAGGACTGTTGGAGAATTCAGTTATTTCATATATGTTCAATCAAACACTAAATCCCTGGATAGTTTTTTACTCTATATCCCTCACAGCTAGGCACTGGCAACTCAATAAACACGTTAGGCAATTTGAATACAGGAAATATTGAGTAGCTTCCATCTCATGCTAGAGGAATGGTCATTTGAATAAGTGGGGCCCACCCAGCGTATTCACCACACCAGCACTTGCTTGTACTTTTAACAGTAATCAAGTGGCCACTGTGTTAGCTGCTTTTATGGGCTTTATCACTTCCAGCCATCTTGAGATACCATAAACATGGAAGCTGAGGTGCAAAGGTTATGGTGACTTGCACAGTCAGGCACAGCTGGTGAGTGGCAGGGCTAGGGTCAGCCTCTACCCTAAGACAATACTGAAGAGTGCTCTGGATATTTCAACACACCAGTCCCACTGAGTTCCATGGGATCCTGATGATTCCAGTGGAAAGTATTCTTGAGACTCCTTGGCAAACTCCTGTTTGGGACTGTCTTAATGATTTCCATAGAAATTCTGGGCTACAAAGTGAGCCTCTCACTTCTGTCATCCACAGCCAGAGGTTAGAGCCATGAGATGTGAAGTGATGTAAAAGTGAAAAGACGGGCCAGGCGCAGTGGCTCAGGCCTGTAATCCCAGCACTCTGGGAGGCCGAGGTGGACGGTTCATGAGGTCAGAAGATCGAGACCATCTTGGCTAACACGGTGAAACCCCATCTCTACTAAAAATACAAAAAAGTAGCCGGGCGTGGTGGTGGGCGCCTGTAGTTCCAGCTACTTGGGAGGCTGAGGCAGGAGAATGGCCTGAACCTGGGAGGCGGAGCTTGCAGTGAGCCGAGATCATGCCACTGCAATCCAGCCTGGACAAGAGAGCGAGAGACTCAGTCTCAAAAAAAAAAAAAAAAAAAAAAGTGAAAAGACGGGTTCTAGTCCAGGTCTCCCCACTGTCTGTGTCCTCAGATAAGTCCTTGTTCCTCTCTCATGGTTTCCACTGTGTCTGACTATGGTGATGATTTTGGATATTAATGAAAAAGGAGATAGGAGACATTTCATCAAGATTCTTTTCCCCGCCCTAATTCTTTCTTTCCTTATCAGATCTGAAGAGATGTGACATCAGAAAATATGGCTCAGAACTTCCTGATGTTTCTAAATCAGGCATGGGTCAAAGAGCTAGGCACACATTAGTAATCCGTAGGTGTTAGCTATTATTACTACGTGTTTGCCTAGCCCTTGGACAAGAGAATTCAAGTCTCTAGAGGTTAATACTTAACAACAACTTTTCTCAGTTATAACCACCATACTTCTAAATGTGGCCCCTTCCACCTGCTCAAGGACTATGTAATGGGGAGGCTGGAATAGTCATCCTCTGTGGTAGAGAATGCTAATTGTTCACCAATATCCCCAATCTCTTTGCTCCTTCCAACTTTCATTAGATTTTTTTCCCTTGATACCAAGCTACTTTTTGCCTAGTTTTTTTTTTTTTTTTTTTTTGAGATAAGGTCTCACTCTTTTGCCCAGGCTGGAATGCAGTGGCACGAACATGGCTCACTGCAGCCTCGACCTCCTGGACTCAAGCCATCCTCCTATCTCAGCCTCCCAAGTAGCTGGACTACAGGCGCGAGCCCCCATGCCTAGCTAATTTTTAAATTTTTTGTAGAGATAGGGTCTCACTATGTTGCACGGGCTGGTCTCAAACTGCTGGACTGAAGCCATCCACCCAACTCGGCCTCCCAAAGTGCTGGGATTACAGGCATAAGCCACCAAGCCCAGCCGTGGTTAAATTTTAATATTAAATATCCAAGGCCGGGCACGGTGGCTCACGCCTGTAATCCCAGCACTTTGGGAGGCCAAGGTGGGTGGATCACGAGGTCAGGAGTTTCAGACCAGCCTGGCCAACATGGTGAAACCCCGTCTCTACCAAAAATACTAAAATTAGCCGGATGTGGTGGCGGGCGTCTATACTCTCAGCTACTCAGGAGGCTGAGGCAGGAGGATTCCTTGAACCCAGAAGGCGGAGGCTGCAGTGAGCCCAGATCACGCCACTGCAATCCAGCCTAGGCAGACAGAGCAAGACTCCGTCTCGGGTGGGGGGAAAAATCCTATTTGGGAGAGGAATGCAGAACTAGATGTAAGAATCTGATCACTAAAAAACTGGGATGAGTCTAGTGAAAATGTTTCAGGCCTGAGCATTTTCAAAACCACCTAGCAAAGCTGCCATCATGTAATTTGATTTCTATGACCCTTTTTTTCAAACCTTATACCCCCCCTTTTTTTTTTTGAGAGATGGGAGTCTCACTCTGTTGCCCACACTACAGTACAGTGGTGCGATCTTGGCTCACTGCAACCTCTACCTCCTGGGTTCAAGTGATTCTCCTGCCTCAGTTTCCCGAGTAGCTGGGACTACAGGCGTGTGCCATCACCCCAGCTAATTTTTGTTTTTTTTAATAGAGACATGGTTTTGCTATATGTTGGCCAGGCTGGTCTCAAACTCCTAACCTCAGGTGATGTGCCCACCTCTGCCTCCCAGAGTGCTGGGATTACATGCGTGAGCCACCGTGCCTGGCCCACATTCTTTATATAAAATGATGAGATCTAATATCTACATCTGTATACATATACACTGATGACACTTGCCCAGTTTATCTTTTCTCCAATTTCACAGGTTGAAAACAGATGCTTTTTAAACAAATGACCTCTTTTTGCAGATGTTACCACTATGTTCAAATCCTGGACCAAGCCTCTGACACACCTGACTCCTCTCTTCCTGTCCTTGTTGCCGCCATGTTGAGTCATTAGCTCAGCTCTGAGTTCCTATTCACTTGTAAGCATGAATCATCTCACATCCACAACTCTATTGAAACTCCACCCTGCTTTTGTATTTTGCTTCTTTTTTCTGGCTAAAATTCAACTGCTAGGATGAACTTCCTCTCAACAAATAGTGCTTATCAACATTTCCCTCCCATTTCTACCATTCACTAGCCACACTTTTAAACAGCATAGAATTATATCTGCTAAGGTCCAAATTGATCACTTTTCACTTTTTAATTGCTCTGAATGCCAGGGTTCTAACTTCACTTAAATCTAGTCTCAAGGCCTGGTTAAAGCATAGCTGAGATGTGCTTCTCAGGGGCTGAGGCCTGTTCGACTCGTTTTCTCTATGGTGCCTCATAGTGCCTGGCACTCTGCAGGCAGCTAGTCAATGTTTGTTTAAAAAATTCCATCTTCTCTCCCTCACCTCTTCTCCCTTTGCTTTTTCCTCTAGATTCCTTTCACACTTCTGTATTTTTTGTTCCTACCTACTCATACATTCTTTCAATATAAAATACTCTACACAGAATTCCACTTCTGGAGTTGGGACAGAATACATGCCCTTATGTGCTGGCTTGCCAGCACTTTTTGGATCTTTATATTATGCTGCTAGAATTGGGGAATGCAGTACAATTTGCTAAAGCTTCAAAAGGAATAGGATCTTAGTTCCATGTGGGCATTTAGCAAATATTTAGCATTCTTGTATTCAGGAGAACAAAGCTGAGAAACTCTTGTTATCATCCACACACACTTGATGAGCACAGTCCAGAACGTCAGTGCTGGCCCAGCTCAGCAGCTGGAGGAACAGCTACTGATAGCACTCTACAGGCGCTTCCAGTACTCGAGAAACAGGAGAGCGGTTAGCGGGGCAGGTTCTAGAGTCAAAAGGCGTGGGGCCAAATTCTGCCATCAATAGCTGTGAACTCTGTGCCATGATTTCCTCAACTGGAAAAATGGGCAGCAACAGAATCCATCTTGGAAGATCAGTGTGAGGACTGAGTGGACACAAGGAAAGCACTCAGAACGGTGCTTTGCACCAAGTGTTCATGTGTGTTAGTGATCCTATCATTATTCCCATAGTCAGATCAGGGGCCAAATGTACAGAAGTGAAAACTTTTCTACCAGAGTGTGACTGGATACACAGAATCTTGTTTCTGGAATTTATTTACTAGTAGGTGAAACTGGGCAAATCGCCTAAAATGAATCCTAGTTTCCTAAGTTCATCACTGATAAGGTTGTTGCAAGATTGTTCATACATATCACAAAGTACTAAGCCATTGAGGTACTCACCCTGAGTCCTTTCCTTCTCCCTAGTTTTAGCTCAGGAAATAATTTGCAAATATCTGATTAGGAGTAGGAGAAATACTAATGGCTGGCCAAAAGGAAGCATGTACTGGGTCCTCCTTTCAGTGACATGACCTGATGATCTGAGACGAATTATTTTATCTCCCAGTGCCCCAGGTCCTGAAGAGTCAATTCTACTTGCTGCCAGATAATGGCCATGATGCAAATGATATATTAGCTCTGGTAAGGCATTACTCTGGTTACTACTGGCATTGGAAAATAATTACTCTCATTATAGTTTTGTCTGCATCTGGGGATTAACATTCTCCTAAGAGTAGGCCTTTGGCTCTTTCAGGGCAAATGGTCCATACCTGTGTTTTACAAATCACCCCAAATAGGTTGCTTCCAGCTGTAATTCTGGTCCCTATGTGGCAACAATTTCACTTCCAAGCTAAGAGAGTAAGAAAAAGGTCTTCTGGAATTGCTAATATGCACTGCTTGAAGAATGCTTGAGCTTCTCTGCAGCGAGGACTGCGCGGGCCTAACTACTTCTAGTCGGGGTCATCAGGCAAGATCATCACCTGAGTTGCTATGGACTGCAGCCATGCTGTTGTGTCCATTAAGACACCACAGAACTGACTCTCAAAACCTTTAATAAAGTAATTCTAGAAAATCAAAGCAAAGAGAAAAAAGCTGAACTTCTTTTTTTGTTTTTCCGAGACCCGTCACCCAGGCTGGAGTGCAGAGTGGTGCAATCTTGGCTCACTGCAACCTCCACTTCCCAAGTTTATGCGATTCTCCTGCCTCAGCCTCCCGACTAGCTGGGACTACAGGCGTGCACCACCACACCGGGCTAATTTTTGTATTTTTAGTAGACACGGGGTTCCACCATGTTGGACAGGCTGGTCTCAAACTCCTGAACTCAGGTGATCTGCCCTCCTCGGCCTCCCAAAGTGCTGGGATTACACCGTACTTGGCCAAAACCTGAACCTCTATTAACCTGTGGGGTGGCATTTGTTCTAAGTGGGTAAGAAAGGCCATCTAGAATAAAGGAGAAAGAAGAGATCTGGAGTCAACTTCAAATTATAGCTTTGCTATTTAGAAGCTATTTGGACATATTACCTGACCTTTCTGCCTATCAGCATAATACAGGCAGTGAAATGACTGTTGGGAGAGCTTCACAAAGCAATGTACGAACAGCACTACTGCCAGCACATGGCCTCACAGAAAAGCTGAGCATTGTTTATACATCTTGCTTGTGGTACCCACCACATTCCACCTTTAAAGACAGGTGACTGAACGTGTACGTATCTAGTCCCACTTCTAGACTGTAAACTCCTCGGCAGCAGAGCTTTACAGGCATTATAGCATAGTGGTCAACAGCATAGATATAAGAATTCAACCCCAGCTCCAAGTCTTGTTATCTTGGGCGAGGTACTGAACTAAATGTGTCTTCATCAGTAAAATGGAAATAACATCACATATTAACACGTATTCCACGGGACTGTTGAAGATCACTCAAGAAAACACAGCTGAGGCTATGAGTACTTTCCTAGCCCACCGTAAGTGCCTGATAAATGGTAGTGATTATCTTTTCATGTCTTGTGTCCCTTATACCTGCTAACGCAATCTAGCTAATACCTACAGCTTTGAAGGTTTATGAAGCTGAGACACTGCCCCACCCACAGAAATCCAGAAATATCAGTATCAAGATGCCAAGGAGAAGGGTCCCCTACCTCTGGAAAATCTCTTGCAGCGTATCCCGGGTGAAGGCATTGCTGTCCTGGAAGACGTTATTGAGGGCGTGGAGGGCACAAAGCTCCCTGCGCTGTTTCTCATGGTAGATTTGTGGGGGTGCTGCCTGGGGCAGCTCCAATGATTCAGATTTGGCCTTGTCTCCTTTCCATGGCACACAACTCATGTTTTTTGTTTTAGGTTCCAGAGATGGCTATAAACACCCCACTCTTCCCTCTAGAGGAAGAATGTAAGCTTCTCAGTCTTTTCCGGATTCCTGAGGTCCACCTTATTCTCTGGTGTCCATGATTTATGCTTTGTCACTGGGAGAAAAGATTGGAATCAAAAGGAAAAAAATAAAACCCACCTCTTCTCTCTTCTCAATAGAAAAATAACTTTTGGATTACTTTTATTTTGCTACCACTGTCAAAGTGCAGAATTTAAAAAAACACATAAAATGTAAGACCTTGTTTCCGTTTCCCCACCCTTCCCTCCCACCCCCCTCCAAAATCCCCACGATTTTCTTGCTGTTTCCCTCTGCAAATGCCAGGCCTCAAAGCAGGAGGACCGAACACAATCGGTCACATCGCTCCTTTTCTTCCATTTCTTTTGAACCACGACGCCAATGACTCGGGAGACAAGGCCTGGGTGACGGATAAATTTAGCGCACGAGTCGAGTAGCTAGCGCGGGCCGGCAGGCGTGGGACCGCGAGCCGCGCGGGGGCCTCGGGGGCAGCCCTCCATCCCCTCGGGTACGGTGGGGCCCGCAGGGCGCGGCTCCCTCGGAAGGCGCGGATTCTAGCCCTCTGGCCGCGGCCCTGCGGAGGAGGAGACAACTCCGGTCAGCGGCGAGCGGGCGCGGGAAGTGAGCGGCGGGGCCGGCCCCTGCCCGAGGGAAGGTTCCGCGCGGCGAAGGGCTGGCCCGCGAGGGGTGGGGCCGGACAGTCAGCCTCGCGCTCCCGGGCCCGCGCCCACCCGGCTCGCAGCCCCTACACAAACCTCCCCGCCCGTCACGTGAGCGCAGGCCCAGACGCCCTCCCGCCGCGCCCCCGGCCGCAGACCCCAGGGCCGCCGGGACTGCTCGCCGCTGGCGGTCCCCTCACCGCAGCCGGCCGCCACCTGGAGTGCGCGCCGCCAACTGGGCCGTGCGGGCGGGCGCGCGCACCTGAGCCCGACGTCAGCGGCCCCCGCCCGGCGCGTGCTCCGGAAACGCCCTCCCGCGCCGTCCTCACTCCTCCCAGCCGTGGCGTCACGCCTGACGTAAGTCTGACGTCATCGGCACCGGCCTGGGAGCCGCAGACGCCGGGCGTGTAGGGGCGCAGTTCAACGGTTGGGGTGTTGCAAAGGCCGTGGGTGTGGGGCTGCGGGCTGCGCACCTCGGCGGCGGCCGGCAGGGTTGGGGTCCAGCCGCTCCGCTCGGCGCGGCCCCTGGCGGGGCGGCCTGAGGGAGTCCTACCTGGACGCCAGCCTGCCCTTCTCCCGGGCGTGGGCGTTGTTTCGGGGCGGCAGCCAGGCCAGCGGCTGCAGTCCGCGGCTTTCAGCACCCCTCCCTTCTCTGTGCCGGGCTTTTCGGCCGAACGTTCTCGCTCCTTCTGCGTTGACTGTTTTATGTGTGGTTAACGCGCGGCTCACCAGGGGGGATTTTGAAGCACCTGATTCGGTCGGGCGCAAATTGCCTTGGTTAGTGGGCCCGACCGTGCCGCACTGTCCAGGGAGCGTCAAGGGTAGGTGTCTCGCTGGGAGTCACATTTCAAGTGGAAAGGAGAATCCTGTTGCAGTTCCTTGGTGTCGCATTTCGGTTCACTACACACAAGCCACTGCCTTCTTGCCTGGGGGCTCCCCGCTCTTCTCACGGTGGCTTTCCTCTCTGCAGAGACCTCTGCGCGAGGTATACCTAAGCGCATTGTGTGCGTCTTCGGGAAAAGGCGAAAACTACTCGCAGTCCCACGTGGATTTCATTTTTTCCCCTTTACCTACTCTTAGGGTGCGTGGTAGGCATCATTATCCACCTTAGCTGCCCTTCTTTTGGGTTTTCTGTAAAACTGGAAAAACGAGAAGAAACTGTTGCACTTCAAATTTAGTTGTTTTGTTTTGTTTTTTGGAGACGGAGTTTCGCTCTTGTTGCCCAGACTGGAGTGCAATGGCATGATCTCCGCTCACCGCAACGTCCGCCTCCCGGGTTCAAGCAATTCTCCTGCCTCAGCCTCCCGAGTAGCTGGGATTGCAGGCATGCGCCACCACGCCCGGCTAATTTTGTGTGTTTAGTAGAGGGGTTTCTTCATGTTGGTCAGGCTGGTCTCGAACTCCCGACCTCAGGTGATCCACCCGCCTTGGCCTCCCAAGGTGTTGGGATTACAGAAGTGAGCCACCGTGCCCGGCCTTTTTTTTTTTTTTTTTTTTTAAGATGGAGTTTAACTTTTGTCGCCCAGGCTGAATTGCAACGGGGCGATCTCGGCTTACTGCAACCTTCACCTCCTGGACTCAAGCGATTCTCATGTCTCAGCCTCCCGCGTAGCTGGGATTACAGGCTCCTGCCACTACGCACGGCTAATTTTTGTATTTTTAGTAGAGACGGGGTTTCACCATGTTGGCCAGGCTGGTCTCGAACTCCTGAGATCCACCCGCCTCGGCCTCCCAAAGTGCTGGGATTACAAGCGTGAGCCACCGCGCCCGGCCTGAAGTTTTATTATTTTTGAGACAGGGTCTTGCTCTCTTTCCCAGGCTGGAGTGCAGTGGCGCGTTCACGGCTAACCCACAGCCTCTGGGCTCAAGCGATCTTCCTGCCTCAGCCTCCTGAGTAGCTGGGACTACAGGCATGCATCACCACACCTGGCTAATTTTTATTTTTATTTTTGTAGAGGTGGGGTTTCATCACGTTGCCCAAACTGGTCTCGAACTCTTTCCTGGGCTCAGGTGATCTGCCCATCTTGGCCTCCCAAAGTGTTAGGATTACAGGTGTAAGCCACTGCACCTGGCAAACGTGACTATTTTAACACCATTACCCTCAACGTTATGATTTAACACGCTGGAGTGCCTGCCTCAGGGTGAGGAGCCCTCTGGCTCTGTCCAGCCAACTTTTGAATTAAATTTTTGTGGCCGGGCGTGGTGGCTCACGCCTGTAATCCCAGCACTTTCGGAGGCCGAGGCGGGCGGATCATGAGGTCAGGAGATTGAGACCATCCTGGCTAATACGGTGAAACCCCATCTCTACTAAAAAATACAAAAAAAAAAAAAAAAAAAAAAATAGCCAGGCGTGGTCGCGGTCGCCTGTAGTCCCAGCTACTCGGGAGGCTGAGGCAGGAGAATGGCGTGAACCTGGGAGGCGGAGCTTGCAGTGAGCCGAGATCGTGCTACTGCACTCCAGCCTGGGCAACAGAGACTCCATCTCAAAAAAAAAAAAAAAAAAAAAAAGTAATTTGTAAGCTACCCACGGCTATGGTTATATTTACATATGAATAGTTTGAGGGATTGCTCTGCAGCAAGCAGTGTTCTAAGTGCTTTACATATATTAGTTCATTTACAGCTGATTTTATCCTATTAGATACTTTATTTCTTTAAAGGAGAAAACAAGCTCTAAGAAGTTAACTTGCTTAAAAGGTCACATACATATGATATGTGAACCCAGTACATAGTGAATACAGAATTTGAACCTAGGCTCCAACTTTTCTTCGGAAAGACGTGTAGATGGGTAGGGTAAGGAATTCCTTCTATAAAATGTCATGATAGAGTTCCCTGTTCAATTCAAAAGTACCTGCTCTGAGAGTTCTTTTCTGGGTAAAGGCTATAGTGCAAAGGGTATTTTTTTAGTTCGCTATTAGCTGTCAGCACATTCTGGACTTGAACTCTTTTTTTTTTTTTTTTTTTTTTTTGAGATGGGGTTTCGCTCTTGTTGCCCCGGCTGGAGTGCAATGACTCGATCTTGGCTCACTGTAACCTCTGCCTCCCGAGTTCGAGCGATTCTTGTGCCTCAGCCTCCTGAGTAGTTGGGATTACAGGCATGCACCACCACACCCAGCTAGTTTTGTATTTGTAGTAGAGACGGGGTTTCTCCATGTTGGTCAGGCTGGTCTCGAACTCCCGACCTCAGGTGATCTGCCCACCTTAGCCTCCCAAAATGCTGGGATTACAGGCGTGAGCCACCGCATCCGGCCGACTTGAACTCTTTGGAAGAGCCAGTTGGTGAGATGCTATCAATCTGGGCCATAAAGGAAAAGCCAAAATCTGTTTTTTAAAATGTTCTACTCTCAATACAACACAACACCTCTGGTCACCAAAATGTGTGGATTTATCCCCACCAGCAACCCATCAGTGCTGCAGGGGACGCCAGCTGGATGTCCTCTAGTTCAATTCAATTCGTCTCACACTGTCTACCTGGAGATACTGTCAGATCCCACTGATTAAGGGCTCAGTCCCACAAAACTGTGCCCCTCCTTTAGAAGCCAGTTATGAGTTCAGGCCTCCAGTACTTCGTTGTTTTTTTTTTTTGTTTTTTTGTTTTTTTGTTTTTTTGTGAGTGGGAGTCTCGCTCTGTTGCCCAAGCTTGAGTGCAGTGGTGTGATCTTGGCTCACTGCAACCTCCGCCCCCCCCCCCCCCCCCCGGGTTCAAGGGCTTCTCCTGCCTCAGCCTCCAGAGTAGCTGGGATTACAGGCACATGCCACCACGCCCAGCTAATTTTTGGTAGAGACAGCGTTTCACCATGTTGGCCAGGCTGGTCTCAAACTACTAACCTCAGGTGATCTACCCGTCTCAGCCTCCCAAAGTGCTGGGATTACAAGTGTGAGCCATTGCTCCCGGCCCATATAGGATGGAGGTGAGCAATTTGGCAAGGAAGAAATTAAAAAGCACATAAGAACAGTATCAAGACCATTGGAATCAGATGACTTCCTGTCCAAGATTCCCAGCTGTGTTTGTGCAAATAAGACTTGATAGTAGTGGAAAACAGGGACAAGAAGAGACTGTCTCTTTCTTCTCAGGTAGATCCCCAAAACTGAAAGCCATTTTCAATCCTGCCACTTGCTCACTAAAGATTTAGGGTTTAGGTCCAAACCCTAAGTCTTGGATTCCTTATCTTCTCAAACATGCTCTTGTTTGCTTGATGCCTGGTTCGAGTGGCCAAGGCCGACATTCATAGACGTTGGTTAATCCCTAATTTCGCCAAACAATGACGGCCTAGGCTTTTCCGGCTTTTGAAACAGGAATTCAAGACACTAAAACGTGTGTTGATGGCATTTTGGGTTGGGGCTTTTCACAACTGATGACACTGGAAAAATAATCCATAGGAAACTACCTTATGAGACCCTAGATTTCGGTTTAGCAGTTCACCACAAAAGTGGTGAGGTGTTTTTTGGCTTTTAATTTTAGCTGCTTGCCTCTGTTTTTAGTTCGTGTGATTGCCTCCGCAAAGGCAGTGAATGGAGAATTCTCCCTAAGGTCAGCATTTAATTATTGCCTCACTCTGGCTGCTATAGTATTACAACTCTTGGAACTTACAGCATCGATCCTACTATTAAAGTTGCCTGGAGCATGCCAGCACGTTGGACATCGGCGTTCCAGCAACTGCCTCAGTCACTGAATCGAGTGGGAGGCTCATTTTGCAGTTTACTATCTCCATGAGCAGGTCCAGGCGCGGGACCTGTTCTATGACTCGATTGGGTCCTGCCCTTGTCCGTCATCGGAAGGCTTACAGCGCCTACTGTTTTGCAGTAAGATTTGCAGGCTTAGTACCGCCTCTGGAAACAAGGAGAGTGAAGGGGCGTTGACGAGTAACGTTGTTTGTATTTCTCTCCTCATTGGATGGCTGCTGTGTCAGTCAGACACTTCTCTGCTTCCGTTGGCGGGAAGGCTTCAGGCGGGTAGCGGGGACTCGGTACTGCCCCCTCCCAAGCTGGGAGCAGGGCGCGTGACGTCTCAGACATTTGTTGTTGGGATTTGGGCCTCATTAATTATTCATTAGGTACTTGAAAGCTCTGCAGGGATTGGTGGCTGAGAGGCCTAGTCGACTGTTTCTTAGCTAGAGGTACGTGTCACCCAGTACGCGGCTGGAGTTTTGCATAAATTATTCCGATAAGGAGCGGGGCGGGGCTCTGTGCATAGATTAGTCAAATGAGCCTGGGAGGGAGGGAAGCCGGCTACGAATTAGCCTAAGTTATTAAAGATGGCGACGGAGCGCAGTCGCTCCGCGATGGACTCGCCGGTCCCGGCCTCTATGTTCGCCCCCGAGCCCAGCTCCCCGGGGGCGGCCAGGGCCGCGGCGGCCGCCGCCCGACTCCACGGCGGCTTTGACTCGGACTGCAGCGAGGACGGCGAGGCGCTCAACGGCGAGCCAGAGCTGGACCTCACCAGCAAGGTAGGCCCGGGCGGCGGCGGCGGGCGCTGAGGGGAGCGGGCGGCTGGCCGAGCAGTCTCCCGGGCGACGGCGGGGCCAGCGGCCGCCCTGTCCGCGGGGAGCGCGGAACGGGAAGAAGGGGCCGAGCCCGCCCACCTGCTAGTCTCCGGGACGTGCGGGGGTTCGCGGCGCGAGGGGCCGTCCCCATGGTCCCCGCACCCACCTTGGCTCCCCCGCGTCGCCAACCCAGCCTCCCGCCCTCCCGTCTCCCGCCGAGATCGTAACCCCTCGGCTCTGCCACGTGGAACGGGGGCGCCCGATGCCAGCTGCGCTCCGCGCGTTCCCTGTCCCCGCTCAGTGCCCCTCCCCGTTCTTCGGGTCCCCACTTGAGGGGATTCGGAGACCGAGAGTCTCCTCTCCCTGGACCGCGCGGGACAGCAGAGGGGCGAGGGGGCCCGGGCAGGGGGCCGAGACGCTCATGAAGACAGGTAGTCGGAGGCCAGGGCAGGGTGGCCGCCGCGTCTCTTCCCAGACTCGGGAAAGGAAACAGAAAGTAGTCGCTCAGCTGGGGAGGAGCATGTCCGAGAATGTCTACTTTTCGAGGCCACCCGAAACAAAATGGAAAGATGGTCAGGCTCCTTAGTCTCGCTATCCTGTGAGTGGAAGCTCATCTTGTATGAGTGGAGCAGTGAAGGACGTTTAAAACCGTGTTTTTTGAGCTGTCGAGAAGGTAGGCAGGAATTAAGGCCTCGCCAACGGCTTGACATTGTGAAGAATAGAAAAGTAAATACAAGATGTGACTGGTGTTTTGAAGGTGCTTAACGTTCCTTAGGGAAAGAATGCCAACTTGGGAGTCAGACAGGGCTGGGTTCCCTTTCCTGCCCTACCATCGAAAGGCTCTGTGACGTTGGGAAAGTTTCTTAACCTTTCAGTTCTCCAACCACCTCATCTTAAGAAAGTACAGATGGGTTGTAAAAATTAGAAATATTTAAGAAGACACCTAATAGTGCCTGATGCATACTAGAGACTCAGTAAATGTTTGAAGTGAACGAGATAGTTCCTAATTTCCTGTGCAGATTAAATAGCAGTGGGTGAAAGATAGAACACCAATACCACCACTTACATTTGTAGGATAGTTACGATAGACATTTTATCCAGCTTTGAAAATGTTTGTGACTTTTTATAGTTTATGGCGGCAAATTTGCATGAAACTTGGTCCTAAACTGGGGAGGAACTTTCCCTGCAACCTAAGCAAGTTATTTTCAACTGCTCTTTGCCATTGTAGTCTCAGGTGAGCACTTGGAAGCCAGCTAGCCTGTCAAAGTTGGTCCTGTCTTGTGCCTGTAAGGCCATAATGAGGATGGCCAAACTTAGAGAGAGGGATGGCCAGGACGATGTAAAAGACCCAGGAAACATCCAGGTTACAATTACAAGCTCTGATGAGTCAACTCAGGAAGTTACAAGATTATGGACCTGACTCAAGAGCAAACAAACTGGATGTCAACACATGGTCAAGGTGCTGAAGAAACATGATAGGAAATTGCAGGGCAGAGTTGCAAAGACGGTAGTACCTTCATTTCTTGACCAGCTCATTTAATATTCCTAGAAGTGTTATTTCATCACATAGCTGGGGAAGTCCTCCTTACAATTAAAAAAAATCATATGTATATTAATATCGATGATATCAAAAAGAAAAAGTGATGGTGTGGAGGGAGAGAAGGGTTGGGTTGAATAGATTGATTCCGGAGGAACAGATTAGAAGCGAAAGGTTCATGTCCTTACGATAGAAAATGTGGAGACCTAAGGCTCCGAGAGCTTCCAAAGGGAGAAACACTTAGTGAATAGTGGTGGCTAGTTTCATCCAACAAGGTTTTTCTGGGAATGATTGGGTGAAGAAAACCTTGTAGTTTCACATTTATTGAGCTGTGGACTAGATGCTTTACATGTTATTATATTTGCTCTTTACAGTGGCCTTAGGATGCAGGTAGTATTAGCTCCGTTTTATAGATTGAAAAACTGAAACTCAGAGTGGTTAAATTCTTTGTCCAAGGTCACACAGGAGTGGTTAGAGAATGGGGTCTGATTGCCAAATGGCTTACCCAAGTAAATGGTTGACACTTCAATGTTATTGGCAGACATTTGCAAAATGACGGTGCTAATACTCCTCGTAGTGGTAATGGTGATGGTGCTTTGTTGATGAAGATGAGTCTTGCAGGCAGTTTTCATTCCCAAATATTCAATATAGCTAAGACAAGATAGAACAGAATTCTTTTGTTATCCTGGAAGCCACTGGCCTGTGGGTGGAGGGCATGGAGGTATATGAGGTATATGTCTTGTGGGCTTCCAGATGCCAACTGCAGGTAGAAGACTTTGGCATGTAGATGGAAAGCACTGCGCTTTCTATCCACAGTGCCATATTCTCAGTCACTTGGGTCCTGCCCTTCCTGTTAAGCAGCAGGAGGCAGGCTGCTTGTGCCCTCTTTACCATGGGTTATGGCTCAGACATACACATTGTAGTATATTATTTGGCTCATATAAGGCCTGAGGCTCAAAGGCTACTTCAGGAGAAGCAGAGAGGGCATGAAGGGGCTGTGCAGCCTTTTTAGATGAGGGTGCTATGGGGTTCAGTCAGGATCTTTGGTTAGGCTATATTGATCAGCTTTGGCTGTGGTGCTCTTCTAGCAAGTGTGGTCCTAAGGCTGTTGGTTTCTTTTCTAGCTGGTTCTAGTGAGCCCTACATCAGAGCAGTATGACAGCCTACTTCGGCAGATGTGGGAGAGGATGGACGAGGGATGCGGAGAGACCATATATGTCATTGGGCAGGGATCAGGTGAGCATAGTTTTCCTTTCACTTTATTTTTAAAAATTATTGGGCCGGGTGCGGTGGCCCTGCCGCCTGTAATCCCAGCACTTTGGGAGGCCAAGACGGGTGGATCACCTGAGGTCAGGAGTTCGAGACCAGCCTGGCCAACATGGTGAAACCCCATCTCTACTAAAAATACAAAAAATTAGCCGGGCGCTAATTAGTGGTGGCAGGCGCCTGTAATCCCAGCTACTTGGGAGGCTGAGGCAGAAGAATTGCTTGAACCTGGGAGGCGGAGGTTGCAGTGAGCCAAGATCGTGCCATTGTGCTCCAGCCTAGGCGACAAGAGTGAAACTCTGTCTCAAAAAAAAAAAGAAATTATTTAGAGCACATTTTCCCCGCTTTTTGAACTTTTCTGCTTATGTGTCTCAGTTACAGTGATTCTTTAGTGTCTGCAGAACTGTTTGGAGTACATAAAAGTACAAAGTGAATGTTAATTCTGACCTTAGTGGCCATAATATGCTTGACTTTCCAAGCAGTTTTACAGATGCTTCCTTTTTACCTCCAGTACTCTCTATTTGCATAAGAGGAAATGAAGCACAAAGCAAAGGAACTTCTTGTCTAAGGTAATAGGG